>NW_016107305.1:0-159285 GCF_000001405.40 Homo sapiens
GAATTCCCCATGAGTCCTGTGACCTCAGCCCACACGGGGACCTACAGGTGCTACGGCTCACTCAGCTCCGACCCCTACCTGCTGTCTCACCCCAGTGGCCCCGTGGAGCTCGTGGTCTCAGGTGAGGGCGCTGACCCTGTCCTCTCTGAGCTCAAAGGCTCAGCTCAGGCCCTGCCCCCAGCAGAGCTCTGGACACTAAGGAAAGAGGGGAGTGAAGGGAGAGGGTCCGCAGGGGAGGGTCCAGCCCATGGGAAGATGGAAATAGACAGGGACCTCCCACCCCTGGCTCCCACCCCTGAAGTCTCAGTAGAGTAAAGTGCAGGGAGGGCTGGGAGGAGACGGGGGGTGAACCTCAAAGGAGTTGAGATTAGACTGAGGGTGGAAGACGGAGGCCCCACCTGCTCCCATCCTGGTGTCTCCACCTCAGAATCAGAGCCTCTGTGTCCCAGTCCCCAACAGACGCCCTCCTGGAGAGAGAAGCATCCAGGCTGCCGGTGCCACCTGCATCCACCCCCGACCCCCCCCCACCCCGCCCCACTTCCTGCTTTCCCCTGCAGCCTCCCCAGCACTCAGCGCACACCTGAGCCTCACAGGGACTTGCACGTGCTCCCGCAGCAGCTCAGGGAATGTGCACCGCTCCTCTTCTGCGCCGTTGACATTTTTTATTTGGGTTTTTAAAATCTCATATTGGCCTTTTTGTCCAAGCTGGTGAAAGTAGATTTGCAGCATCACCTATTTTTATTCTCACCCGGTTTCGTAATAGCCCTGATCTCACGTGCTCCCTGAGGTTTTGTAAACTTCAGGTAGAAATGTGGACTTCCTTCGTTCTGGACATTTGCTATGGAGGGGGTAGGGCTTATCTTTTCAGAAAAAGTCAAATGACTGGTACCACTCCTTGAAACCCTACAGCACTTTCCAGACCTCAGAGGGAGGGAGAGAGAGGCAGAGACAGAGACAGAGAGACAGAGAGAGAGATATTGGGGCCGCTCTTTCCTGGCCGGTTCATCCTGGCCTATTCTCAATCCACCAAGGCCCCGAAGCTCATCTCCCCTCCTCCTCTGCCTCCTCCTCCACCCTGTAGACAAGCGGCCATTCCTTTCTGAAGAACAGGCTGAGACCTTTCTGGGACCTGCTCTTTCTGGAGCCTCTGTTGCTCCCTGTCTGGGTCTCCACACGCCTCCTTCCTGGCCCTTTTTCCTATTGAGGAATCAGCTTCAATGTCACCTCCAAGTGTGACCTTCACTGACGACACAGCTCAGCCCAGTCCTGCCTGCTTCTCATTTATGTCAAGTAATTAACCAACCTACACCATGCGGCTGAATTCCTTCTCTCTCTCTTCCACTCTCTGCATATACGTGTGTGTGTGTGTGTGCGCGTGTGTGGTCACACCAACATCTTACGTGACATTGAAACCTAGTTATCCGTATATCTATACAAATAATATATATTCACACATAAATATAGGTCTCTACCAATATATCTAAAACCATTGCTACGACTAGTAAATTTCCACTGCTGTGTTTCTATATGTTTGCTGTTTGTCTCCAGGTGAACCCACACTTCAAGAAGGCAGAGATAGTTTTTAAGGCCCACTATATATATAAAACAGATATATATTTGTGTTTGTGTTTTTCTGTGTGTGTATCACATTCTACCTGTTGCTGCCTATACGAATAATTAGCTACCTAGAGATTAAATGGACAATGAAACTCCAGGTGAAGTGGCTGAGGGCATGAAGGGGAGGCAGCCCCAGAATTTCACCCCTTTGTGCTTCTGACATTGAGGCTCCCCTGATGACTAACCCTCATCCACGGAGCCTGGGTCCTCAGCTGGTGGATCCGTGAAACTCTCATCTCCGGGGGAGTTGGCTCATGTTCTCCTGTGTCCCAGGCTGCACAGAGAGCACACAGGCCTTAGTGACCTCTGTACTGGGGACCACTTTCCTTGCAGATCCTGAGCTCTCAGGATGCAGGAAAACTCTCTCCCAGATGACTCAGGAGCAATGTTTAAATCCATAGAACACAGGAAAACTGAAATCGTTCAATGAGGAGACTAGAGGGAATCCTGCTAGCGGAGGAAGAGGTTTTTTTTTTTTTTTTTTAGAAATTCTGTAAAAGTCACATCATGAGACATTAAGTAATAAAAAAAAAATTGCAGAGCCCAGGTGAGAGGCTGGGCTCAGGTCTCTTTTTCTCTGTTTTGATTCTCTGGAGCAGCTGATACCCTCAGCCCATCACAAAACAAGTCTGACTCTGAGACTGGTATGTGAGGAGATACTCTCAGTGATGGGGCTGGCACTGAGGGTTGGGTCCTGTGAAGGGGAGGTGGGTGCCCTGGGTGGACAATCTGATCCACCCTGACCTCTGTGACCTCTTTGTCCACCATCCCCAGCCTCACACCTTCAGGATTACGCAGTGGAGAATCTCATCCACATGGGCGTGGCTGGCTTGATCCTGGTGGTCCTCGGGATTCTGTCATTTGAGGCTTGGCACAGCCAGAGAAGCTTCCCAAGATGCAGCCGGGAGGTGAACAGCAGAGAGGATAATGTACTTTATAGAGTCGTGAAGCCTCAGGAACAGATCTGATGATCCCAGGAGGTTCTGGAAGAAAATCTAGGGCCGATGCTATCTGGACTGTCTGCTGGTCATTTCCAGAGGAAGGAATCAATGTCCGAGTGCAGGGACATTTTCTGGGGTGATCCATGGAGAACCATTAAAATGTGATACCTTTCCTCTCCATTAATGTTGACTTTCCTTGGTTGGATCTGCCTCTTTTCCCACACTTAGACATGAGGCTCCATCCCACATGGCAGCGTTGGGTCCACACCTCTGCACACCTGCATGCTCTGGTCCATGGCGTGTCACACAGTCCTCTTCATTTCTCATTGCCACACTTCCTGGTGTACTTTACTGGGTCTTCATGTCTTCAGTTCAGAGTTCCGCACCTGGTTTAGGAACTAATTCAACGGGAGAAGATCAGAGTCCGACCAGGAAAAGATAAATGCACCGTGATGCCCTCACCTCCTGTGTGGACCCTATGAGCTCTTCCCTCCTTATCAGATGCTATCTGTGTAGTTTCTCCTGAAATATCACCACCTGGAATCAACACACTGGCATTTGAAGTCACGACCCAATGGTATGCTAATTCTGAAAAAGACATTTTTTGAAATGCTATGATTAGTGGCATTTACCAATTTCCTTGACGTAAATTCTTTTTTCATGGCCATAATCAAGATGCCAACGAGACATCCCTGAATGCAGGGTTGGGAAGCGTTGGACAGACTTGTCTTCACTCATAAGCACCAGGCATCTGATAGCTCACGTATACATCTTATTACCTTCCATTTTAGAGTGAATAATCATTTCTACTTCAGTATTTTGGCACAGGTAAAAGCAGTCCCATTACTGCGCGTATACCCAAAGGAATATAAATCATTCTATTGCAAAGATACATGCACACATGTGTTCATCGCAGCACTATTCACAATAGCAAAGACATAGAATCAACCCAAATGCCCATCAATGATAGACTGGATAAAGAAAATGTGAGACATATACACCACGGAATACTATGAAGCCATAAAAAGAAACAAGATCATGTCCTTTGCAGGGACATGGATGGAGCTGGAAACCATTATCCTCAGGAAACTAACACAGGAACAGGAAATCAAACGCTGCATGTTCTCACTTACAAGTGGGTGCTGAACAATGAGAATGCGTGAACACAGGGAGGGGAACAACACACACTGGGGCCTGTCGGGGGGGGGGTGGGGTAGGGGTAGGGAGAGCATTAGGAAAAATAGCTAATGTATGCTGGGCTTAATACCTAGGTGATGGGTTGACAGGTGCAGGAAACCACCATGGCGCACATTGACCTATGCAATAAGCCCACACATTCTGCACATGTACCCCGGAACTTAAAATAAAAATAAAAATTAAAATTAAATTATGACACCATGATCCTAGCATATCCAAAAAAGACAAAAATGCCAATATCAAATGTCGGAGAAAATAGGGCTGAATTAAAAATCCAATACAACGCCGGGCGCAGTGGCTCACGCCTGTAATCCCAGCACTTTGGGAGGCCAAGGTGGGTGGATCACTTGAAGTCAGGAGTTTGAGACCAGCCTGGCCAAACGTGGTGAAACCCTGCCTCTACTAAAAATACAAAAATTAGCCGGGTGTGGTGGCACTCGCCTGTAGTCCTAGCTACTAGGGAGGCTGAGGCAGGAGAATCACTTGAACCCGGGAGGCGGAGGTTGCAATGAGCTGAGATCATGCCACTGAACTCCAGCCTGGGTGACAGAGCGAGACTCCGTCTCAAAAAAAAAAACAAAAAAAAAAAACCCTCAAAAGCTCAGGCAGCAAAAGCAAAAATAGGCAAATGAGATCATAGCAAACTGCAAACCTTCTGCACAATCAAGGAAACAAACAGCAGAGTGAAGAGACCACCTACAGAATGGGAAAGAATATTTGCAAGCAAGAGATTAATCTCCAGAAAATACAAGGAGCTCAAACAATGCAGAGGTTTTGAAGGATGGTGATGAGAAGGTTCTGCTACTTACAGAAAGGAAGTTTAGGAGAAACAAAACCACAAACCTAGGTGGTGGGATGGCTTGATCTGCTTCTGTCTGTGACTCACTTAACAGTCTTAAACACATCTCCCTAAGCCTCCTTCCCCCGGTGGGATTCCTGGGTCTTGTGAGGACCTCATCGGTCCCTCTGGTAAACCCAGGCACAGAGTGGAGCAGCTCTTGTTTTCTCAGGATCTTCCCCTTCACATACAATTAACGCACCCACACGATGCTACTCTTAGAACCCTTCAAATAAATGTTTCCCGGTTCATTCACTACCAGAATCCAAGCTCAGCTTGTTCCCCAGCTTAGGACTGAGTGGTATCTTGGAGGTAGTTTCCACCATAGCCCCCTTCCTCTGCTATAAGGCTCAGTGACACACCAGAGACACCCCCTCCAGCCAGGCTCCTGGAAGGTCTGGATGAAGACTGGGATGCTGAGGCATTGCTCAGCAATGTGGCTTAACTCAAACTTCTATGTGAAACTTCCAACCACTTTCAGCAAGGGGTCACTTCCAGCGTCTTGGGGTGTGAGGGCACTTTGGTTGGTCCCTGCAATATCAGACCCTATAAAGATCCTACAAACATGTTGCAGACTCTTTGAAGATTCTGGCACTTTCAGACATGCTGTTGGGAAATGGTGACACCCATAACCTTCTAGTTCCAGGACAGGGAGCCTTAGCCCAGGGCTATGTTTTCTGAGGGTCCTCAAAGTAAACAGTTCTATGTGCCAGGAGAACCCTAAATCTCATATGGTTCTAAGGGCAGAAAGCCACACACGCACCGGCAAAAAGCAAGAGATTCAAGGAAAAGCTGAGCAAAGACAGACAGGAAAACACACACATGATGAGCCAGCTTGTAGAGCTAGAACTGAGATGGAGAGAGGCACGAGTGGGTAACAGAGTGTGCTCCCCAGAACAGGTGGAGAGAATGCCTTTTTCATGCCCTGAGGATAGGCTGGGTAAGGCTTGTGCTCGACAGTCAAGGACTATTTTTTTCCCCAGGCGTCTACAAGAGACCTTCCTTCTCAGCTCAACTGTGCCCTGCAGTAAGTAATGATGGAGAGAATGTGACTTTGCTCTGCAGCTCTGGAAGCTCATTTGACCTGTGCCTTCTAACGAGGAAGGTAAGGCCCCTGGACACTGGCTCACTGGGGTGCAGAGACAGAGTGGGGCATTCAGGCCAACTTCTCTCTGGGTCTTGGGGCTGGTGATGGGACCTCTAGATGCTGCAGCTCTCTGTCGATGGCTCTGCCTGTGAGTGATCAGCCCTAGATGACCACTGTTACTGGGGGTAGCCCATGCCTGCTGCATGCCCTGTGAAACACTAAATCATATAGCCACGTCTGAGGGACAGCCTGCTGGAGACATGGGAATCTTAGGGATTCCAGACAAAATGAAGCAATGAGAAACACAAAGAGGAAAAGAGAGGTTGAGTATGACAGTGGTGTCAGGGTGTAGGGTGGTAGACAGGGCAGCTCCACACTCTCCACTGCTTCCTGTCTGGAGGCCCACTTTGGGGTCCTACTTATCCAGGTGAGTGAAGGAAGAGGTCAGGACAAACACAGGAGGTGAAGCCAGATACAGTGTGGGGAGATAAGCAGTGGCCTCAGCCTCTAGCCCTTTTCCATCTTCCAGAAGCCCCTCCTGAGCTCTCATCACAGACAGATTTCCCATTTGGAAACCCAGATATTTATCATGCCGGGGGGGGGAGGCAATGTCTCTTGATTATGGGGACTTTCCATCACCAGGCACCTGCTAGTCCTCTCTATACCTTCCCTTCAGGAAAGGAATTGTCCCTCATGGGATTCCAGGGAAGAGACCCCAGGACCCCTATCAGTCACTAGGGAGATGACAGAGTAGAGGAAGTCAGGGGACCAACCCTCCACAGAGAATGGTCCTACTTCAGTGGGGTGAGGGAAACTCTCACTCATCCATTTGCTGTCCTGTTACCTCGGAACCCTAAGAGAACTTGTTAGTCACACACAGAATCTACCCCTGAATGTGGTGTGCAAAGTGGGGCTCTTAGCCTCCAGTGTGAAGTCCCTGGGAAGATGGAATGTCCCTGTGTGAGTGAAGGCTGTGCCACCGCCCAGCTATGTGGCCTTGGGCTAGGCAACCCCTCCCAGGTCCCCAGTTCCCCATCTGCATCGGAGACTGTGGCCAGTGCGGGAATCCACAAGGCCCTTCAGCCTCCAAAGCTCTGGGACAGAGGCCTCGTCCACAGGGAGGAAGGGGTCAGAGTGACCTGAGTCCCTACTCAGGAGCGAGTCTAATCCACTCTCCATCGGGGCCTGTGGGGAAGGGAAGATGAAGAAACGGAGCCTGCACCTGGCTATGTGGGCGCAGTAGATTAAGGGGAGGATGAGGGTTCCTGAGAGTGTGTCATGTGGCAGAGACCCTGCAGCACACTCAGGAAGGGCTCTGGAAGGATCCAAGGAAATTTTCCAAGAAGAGGGCAGAGTAAGTGACAGAGACCCTCAACCATGGATTTCACTGAGGTGCCCATGATGACATAGGGAGAACGGGGGTGTCTGGGCAGGAAGAATATCGTCAGGGTGAAATGAATGGTGATGAGCTTCGTGTCAGAGCTCCTGTGGAGGGAGGGGCCTGGCCCACATGAAAAGGTCTCTGATCCTACCCCAGCCCCCAGCCCCTGTTCTCCAGGATGACACTGTGGGAATTCCATCAGGAGGGGTGTGATAGGGCTGGTCTTCCTGGCTCGATTCACAACACTGGCTGGGGACTGGGAACCCATGGGGAGCCACAGGTGGAAAGGGAGGAGCCTCAGTGAACCCAGCAGGAACAAACATAGGGTCTGACATGATGGAACTCACTTCCTGGAGGCCAAGAAAGACACTTGCGGGACAAAAGGGAAAGAGCGGTGGCTTGCTTAGTTCCATTCACTGACAACCCACAGGAGATGTCCAGTCCTTTTTTGATTTATTATTTTATTTTATTATATTTTATTTTATTTTATTTTATTTTCACATGGAGTTTTGCTCCTATTGGCCAGGCTGGAGTGCAATGGCACGATCTTGACTCACTGCAACCTCCACCTCTCAGGTTCAAGCGATTCTCCTGCCTCAGCCTCCTGCATAGCTGGGATTACAGGCGACTGCCACCACAGCCAGGTAATGTTTGTATTTTTAGTAGAGATGAGGTTTTGCCATCTTGGCCAGGCTGGTCTCAAACTCCTGATCTCATGTGATCCGCCTGTATCAGACTGCCAAAGTGTTGGGATTACAGGCGTGAGCCACCACACCCAGCCTTTTGTATTTTTAGTAGAGATGGGGTTTCACCATGTTGGTCAGGCTGGTCTTAAACTCCTGACCTCAGGTGATCCATCCACCTCGGCCACCCAAAGTGCTGGGAGTACAGATGTTAGCCACCGTACCCAGCGAGAGTTTCAGTGCTCTATCGGATTCCCTGCCTACTCCATGTTGCATGTAATGTTCCACCTCAGGGATGTTTCTCTCCTTTCTGTCTCCTTCCTCTTCTCCTTCTCCTTTTTTCTTTCTAATTTTTATTTTTTTGAGACAGAGCCTTGCTCTGTTACCCAGGCTAGAGTACAGTGGCACGATCCCAGCTCACTGCAACCTCTGCCTCCTGGGTTCAAGAGATTCTCCTGACTCAGCCTCTCAAGTAGCTGGGATTACAGGCACCCGCCATCACACCCAGCTAGTTTTTGTATTTTTAGTAGAGACGAGGTTTCACCATGTTGGCCAGACTGGTCTTGAACTCCTGCCCTCAGGTAATCCACCCGCCTGTGGCCCCCCAAAGTGCTGGGATTACAGGCGTGAGTCACCACTCCCAGCCCTGAATGATCTTTCCTCTTTAGTGTGTTCTCACAACCACCTCTCACTGAGCTTTCTTGTTTTTTGTTTTTGTTTTTGTTTTTGTTTTTGTTTTTGGCAGAGTCTGGCTTTGTTGCCTATGCTGGAGTGCAGTGGTGCAATCTCAGCTCACTGCAACCTCCGTCTCCTGGGTTCAAGCGATTCTCCCACCTCAGCCTCCTGAGTAGCTGGGATTACAGGCACCCACCACCACACCCAGCTAATTTTTGCATTTTTAGTAGACACAGGGTTTCACCATGTTGGTCAGGCTGGTCTCGAACTCCTGACCTTGTGATCTGCCAGCCTCAGCCTCCCAAAGTGCTGGAATTACAGGCATGAGCCACCACTCCCAGCCCTGGATTATCTTTCCTCTTTAGTGTGTTCTCACAACTACCTCTCACTGCTGGGTTTTCTCTCTTTCTTTTTTTTTTTTTTTTTTTTTTTTTTTGAGACAGTCCGGCTTTGTTGCCCAGGCTGGAGTGCAGTGGCGCGATCTCGGCTCACTGCAAGCTCCACCTCCCAGGTTCAAGCGATTCTCCCACCTCAGCCTCCCTAGTAGCTGGGATTACAGGCGCATGCCAGCACACCCAGCTAGTTTTTGTATTTTTAGTAGAGACAGGGGTTTCACCATGTTGGTCAGGCTGGTCTTGAACTCCTGACCTTGTGATCTTCCTGCCTCGGCCTCCCAAAGTGCTGGGATTACAGGTGTAAGCCACTGCACCCAGCCAGCTTTCTCATTCTTATCCCTTAGTTCTCTGCCAGGGAATAAGATAGAAACCATTCCCTCAACCACATTCTAGTCATGGTCCCTATTCTCATGTTTCCACTTCTCTCTCTTTGGTAATAAATCAATTAATTGAGAAACAAGTAGCTAAATGTTCATCTTCTGCTAGTCTGCATCCCCTTATTTTCCCAGAGCCTCCCCTAATGAAACTGACTTTATTTACTGAACGCAGGAAATGGGTCTCTCCAGATCAGGATGACTTTCTGCTGGGAAATATTTGTCTTTGCATCAGTGGGGAAAAAGAAAGCCGATGTCATGAGTGGAGGCTCTGAGAAAATAAGGGCTGTGTTTTCAGTTTAGACCCAGCTAAGTTGGGAGCTGACATAGATATGATGTTGGGTCCACCCTCCACGGGCAGGTTTTCAGACAAAGGATCCCTGGCAATCAGGGGACACCTCAGGTCTGGGCTGAGATGTGTGCAGAGGGCCTGGGTCCTCCTGAGCCCCTGCACTGGGGGGGGAATAAGAGACAGGCCCAGCAAGGGGCTGTCCACTTCCTGTGGGTTCACAGCTGTGGGGACCCAGGCAGGCGGCAGCAGGCTCTGACTTAACCACATCCGTGCATCTGTCTGTCATGGAGGGCCATGTGGTCACCTGTCCCACAGCTGGAGCACGCAGAGCAGGCATCATGGTGTCCATCCTCACTGTTCTTCTGTGCCTCAGTCAGTGGTGGAGAGACGAGGGACAGGAGGGGCACTGGGCTGAGGTGGGGAGGGTCCCACAGCAGCCTTGTTCACCAGAGAGCCTCAGGGCTCCAGTGGCTACTGGTGCTCCAACAGGAAGGGAAGCAGCCACACCTCTGTGTTCCAAATCCCCCACAGGAAACTCTTCTCCATGGCTGAGTCTGGGCCAGAAAGCCCAAGCACTTGCAGGTGAGTCTCTGCTAACCTCCCATGCCTGACCTCACACTCAGCACCTGGACTCTCATCTCAGGGGCTTCTGAACTGAGGGTGAGAAAATCAAGAGGGTCTGTGACCTGAGCTGGGAATGAGGAGCGGGGGAGGTCTGTGGACCCCAGCCTGTGGTTTCTTCCAGGGACCCTCCCCAAACCCAGCCTCTGGGCTGAGCCAGGCTCTGTGATTACCTGGGAGAGCCCCATGACCCTCTGGTGCCAGGGGACCCTGGATACCCAGGGTTACTATCTCACCAAGGAAGGAAACCCCATGACCTGGTACCAACAGAGCCCACCAGAGCCCAGGAACAAGACCAACTTCTTCATCCCATCCATGAGAGAGCACCATGCAGGGAGATACCACTGTCACTATCTCAGCCCTGCAGGCTGGTCAGAGCGCAGCGAGCCCCTGGAGCTGGTGGTGACAGGTAAGAGGACACTCAGGGGTCCCAGCCCCAGGCTCTGCCTGCAGGAAGGGGGTCAGCTCTCAAGGGCATCTCCGTTCTAATAACTCAGCCCTGGGGGATGATGTGGGACGCGTGAGCCCCATTTAAGACAGTGTCTCCTTCTCTCCTAGGAGCCCACAGAAAACCCACTCTCTCAGCCCTGCCGAGCCCTGTGGTGACCTCAGGAGAGAACGTGACCATCCAGTGTAGCTCAAGGGTGGGATTTCACAGGTTCATTTTGATTGAGGAAGGAGAAAACAAGCTCTCCTGGATGCTGGACTCACAGGAACTCTCCAAGGGGCTGTCCCTTGTCCCTGGCCCTGTTCCCTGTGGGCCGTGTGGCTGCCAGTCACCGGTGGATGTTCAGATGCTATGGGCATTACACGAACTTCCCCTGGGTGTGGTCGGAACCCAGTGATACCATGGAGATCCTGGTCTTAGGTATGGATGTCTTCCTCCTTGCCCTATTTATTTTTGAGAACTTACTCTCACGGAGCCCCATGTAGGAGGGTGGAACAAGGGAAGTTTGGGACTCCTGAGCCCAGAGACACTGAGTGTGAGAGACAGTGAGACCTGCAGGGCCAGGAGGGGAGAAGGAAGGGGTGTGGGAGGAACCAGCCCTCCTAGTCCCGACTCTTCTTTCCCTCCAGGCGTGTCTAGGAAGCCCTCCCTCCTGACCCTGCAGGGCCCTGTCGTGGCCCCTGGGGAGAATCTGACCCTCCAGTGTGGCTCTGATGTCGGCTATGACAAATTCACTCTGTACAAGGAGGGGGGACATGACCTCGTCCAGGGCTCTGGCCGGCAGCCCCAGGCTGGGCTCTCCCAGGCCAACTTCACCCTGGGCCCTGTGAGGGTCTCCCACGGGGGCCAGTACAGATGCTACGGTGCACACAACCTCTCCTCCGAGTGGTCGGCCCCCAGTGACCCCCTGAGCATCCTGATCGCAGGTGAGGAGCCCAGCAGGTTCAGTCAGGGACCCAGGCTCCGCACAGGCCCTGCTGGGGGAGCCCAGGTGGTGATGGCCGGGATGAGGGGTGGGGGTCCTAAGGGACGGAGAGACAGACAGAGACAGGGGATGGGCGGGGAGGGGGAGACTCAGAGAAAACAGAGACAGAGACACTGAGGGTCCCAGGGAGAGGCCTGGGGAGGTGTCAGCTCAGAACGAGGTGGGGCAGCCCCTCACCCATCCTTCTTCTCTCCAGGACAGATCCGTGGCAGACCCTCCCTCTCGGTGCAGCCGGGCCCCACGGTGGCCTCAGGAGAGAACGTGACCCTGCTGTGTCAGTCACGGGAGCAGTTGGACACTTTCCTTCTGACCAAGGAGGGGGCAGCCCATCACCCACTGCGTCTGAGATCAGAGCACCAAGCTCAGCAGCACCAGGCTGAATTCCCCATGAGTCCTGTGACCTCAGCCCACGCGGGGACCTACAGGTGCTACAGCTCACGCAGATTCTTCCCCTACCTGCTGTCTCACCCCAGTGACCCCCTGGAGCTCGTGGTCTCAGGTGAGGCCGCTGACCCTGTCCTCTCTGAGCTCAAACCTCAGCTCAGGCCCTGCCCCCAGGAGAGCTCAGGACGCTAAGGAAAGAGGGGAGTAAAGGGGGAGGGTCGGCAGGGGAGGGCCCAGCCCATGAGAGGGTGGAAATAGTCAGGGACCTCCTAATCCTGGGCTCCCACCCCAGAGACCTCAGATGGGGCTAAAGGCCAGGGAGGGCTGAAATGAGATATGGAGAAACCTTGGAGGAATCATGCTTAGGCTGAGGGTAGAAGATGGAGGCCCCACCCACTCCCCACCTGGGCTCCCCTGGCGGCCCCAAAATACTCAGTGCATACCTGAGACGAAGGGGAGATCATGCACCTGCTCACTGCAGCAATGCAGGCAAATTATTCAACAGCAAACCTCGTGTGCAATTCCTTTCTGTCCTTTATTTTTTATGTCCACATATCTAGTTTCTCTTTCTGTTTCTGAAGATTTCAAAGCAATGCTGGCATTTATAATTTACACATTTAATTTGTTAGGTAGCGTTATGATGTAAAATAACTGTGCTCTGATTTTCTTTGGGATTAAATTAAATATGTGCATTCATGATGGAGAATAACTTCTCATTAATAATGTCTTTGTATCCAATACATTTAAAATTAAACTTTATACAGTTAGCAGATGCTTGAAGTTGTATTCATAAAAATTGTGGACATTGTGAATTTTAAGCATTGTTTTACTACTTGAATAATTTGAAAGTCTTTGATTCCTTTCTATTTTCTAAAATTAGTTACGTATGGATGAGAAAGCTATTGGTTTGGGTATGCTAATTTTAGTTCCTATTAACTTACCACAGACACACTCCCTTTCAATCCTTTCCGAAATGATCTCTTCTGATTTATTGATAATAATTACATTAACCACAAGAAAATGGAGGACAAACTTGTTTGTTTCTAAATTATATAATACTCTTCTCACTTCAAATATATATGTATGTGTTTATATATACTCACACACTATTATATATCTTATAATATATATTATGTATTATATATTTATATATACACTATTATATATCTTATATATTATGTATTATATATTTATATATACCCACACATTATTATATCTTATAATATATATTATGTATTATATATTTATATATACCCACACATTATTATATCTTATAATATATATTATGTATTATATATTTATATATGCACTATTATATATCTTATATATTATGTATTATATATTTATATTACCCACACATTATTATATCTTATAATATATATTATGTATTATATATTTATATATACACACACTATTATATATCTTATTATATATTATGTATTATATATTTATATATACTATTATATATCTTATAATATATAATGTATTATATATTTATATATACACACACTATTATATATCTTATATATTATGTATTATATATTTATATATACATACTATTATATATCTTATAATATATTATGTATTATATATTTATATATATACACTATTATATATCTTATTATATATTATATATTTATATATGCACACACTATTACATATCTTATTATATATTTATATGTATACACACACTATTATATATCTTATTATATATTATGTACTATATATTTATATATACTATTATATATCTTATAATATATAATGTATTATATATTTATATATACACACACTATTATATATCTTATATATTATGTATTATATATTTATATATACATACTATTATATATCTTATAATATATTATGTATTATATATTTATATATATACACTATTATATATCTTATTATATATTATATATTTATATATGCACACACTATTACATATCTTATTATATATTTATATGTATACACACACTATTATATATCTTATTATATATTATGTACTATATATTTATATATACTATTATATATCTTATAATATATAATGTATTATATATTTATATATACACACACTATTATATATCTTATATATTATGTATTATATATTTATATATACATACTATTATATATCTTATAATATATTATGTATTATATATTTATATATACACACTATTATATATCTTATTATATATTATATATTTATATATGCACACACTATTACATATCTTATTATATATTTATATGTATACACACACTATTATATATCTTATATATTATATATTTATATATACTCACACTATATCTTATAATACATATTATGCATACACATATGCATAATACATATTATCTATACACATATGCATAATACATATTATGTATACACATATGCATAACACATATTATGTATACACACATATTTACACCTATGCATATATGTATGTATGTATGCGAATGTACCTCTGCCACGGCAGGGAAAGGTTCTATCACACAACTACAGAGCAGTTAGGAGAAGTGTAGACACAAAGGAATGCAGCAACTGAGGGACATGTTGGCTTAAGTCTCTTCAACTCCTCACACACCTCCCCCTTTTTTGGTTGATTCTCAGGAGCAGCTGAGACCCTCAGCCCATCGCAAAACAAGACAGACTCCAAGACTGGTGTGTAAGGAGATGCTCTCGGTTATGGGGCTGGCACAGAGGGTCAGGTCCTGTGAAGGGGAGGTGGGTGCCCTGGGTGGACATCCAGGGGTCCCGGGTGATGTTGATCTGCCCTGACCTCTGAGACCTCTTGGTCCACCATCCCCAGCCTCACACCCCCAGGATTACACAGTGGAGAATCTCATCCGCGTGGCTGTGGCTGGCTTGGTCCTGGTGGTCCTCGGGATTCTGCTGCTTTAGGACTGGCACAGCTAGAGAAGTCCCCAAGATGCAGCAAGGAGGTAAATACATGAGAGAACAATGCACCCTTCAGAGTGCCAGAGCCTTGGCAATGAATCTGATAGTCCTAGGAGGTTCTGGAAGAAAGTCTGGACCATCATTCGGGAAACCGTCTACTGAGAAAGTCGAGAAGGGGAGGCTTGGGTCAGGTTCAGGAAGATGTCTGGGTGCCTGTAGAGAACGCTTCCTCCATTAAACTTCCATTAAATGGCAGTGCTTTCAGTCCTGCTGTTGTGGATCCTCCGTGTCTGCCCCTCCCTTCCTTTCGCTCTCTGTGATGTGAAGGCACGTCCCCCATGGTGGGTTTGCATCCACACCCCTGCGATCACGTGCTCTGGTCCACTGTCATGTAATACATTTGTCTTTGTTTCCAACTACCGCATTCTCTAAAGTGAACTATTGATTCTCCATCTTTTCAGTTCTGAGCATAGATCTGGATTAAATAACTGGAATAGGTGGGCAGATTTGTATTTGGGACTTTGAAACATGAGTCTGAGGCCAGGCACAGTGGCTCACACCTGTAATCCCAGCACTTTGGGAGGCTGAGGTGGGCGGATCACTTGAGGTCAGAAGTTCGAGACCAACCTGGCCAACATGGTGAAACCCTGTCTCTACTAAAAGATACAAAAATTAGCTGGGTGTGGCAGTGAGCACCTGTAATCCCAGCTGCTCAGGAAGCTGAGGCGGGAGAATAGCTTGAACCCGGGAGGCGGAGGTTGCAGTGAGCCAAGATCTTGCCACTGCACTCCAGCCTGGGCAACAGAGCAAGACTCCATCTCCAAAAAAAAAAAAAAAAAGGGAAATATGAGTCTGAAATGATGCCCTAGCACCCTCTCTGGACCCTGAATTCCCTTCACTCTTCATCGGATGATACCTGTGTACTTTGTCCAGAAATATCATCTCTCAGAATGAGCACACTAACGCTCGAAGGCTCAGCCTCATGGTATTCTGTTAAACTGGCTCTCTGAAAAAATTATTTTCTTAAGAAAACTCTGAACATATAAAGCCCCAGATTTATGGTATTTGCTGATTAGTGTGGTATAAATACGTCCTTTATGGCCAACTTCAGGGTGCCCATATGACGCCATTGAATGCACAGTTGGGAAGTAGTCAAAAGAATTGTCGTTCACACGAGTATGAACCAGTTGTAAAGTTTATTTAAAGGTTATAATAATTTCTGCTTCATTCTTATGGTGTAGTTTCAGTAAAATTGTAATGTCAAAAATCATAGCACAATGGAGGGAAAAGAAAAAAATAGGCCGGGTGTGGTGGCTCATGCCTGTAATCCCAACACTTTGGGAGGCCGAGGCAGGAGGATCACCTGAGGTCAGGAGTTCGAGACCAGCCTGGCCAACATGGTGAAACGCTGTCTCTACTAAAAATACAAAAATTAGCCAGACATGGTGGCGCCTGCCTGTAATCCCAGCTACTTGGGAGGCCAAGGCACGAGAATCGCATGAACCCAGGAGGCGGAGGTTGCAGTGAGCCGAGATCACTACAGCCTGGGTGATAGAGCAAGACTCAGTCTCAAGAAAAGAAAAAAGTAGCAAAATCATTTTTTGGAAAGAATATTGAACATGTAGAATTTTAGTACATTAATAGTAAGAGTACAAATTGCTTTAATCAATTAAGGAAGTGTATTGGAATTATCTAGTTAAAAAGAGGAGGCACATGGCTGTGACCCTTCTTAATTATGTACTTAATTATGTACCCTAGAGATAAATGTCTACTTATGTGTCATGATACACTCACAACTGTTATAGGAATGCTGTTCCTATTAGCCAAAGCTATAAAATACCAAAGTCCACCTACGAAAAAAATAAACATAGTGTGGTAAATAGACTCAGTGGAATATTACAAGGTAGTAAAATGCATAAATGAAAATAACAAACAGCACCATACTTCAATTTTCAAGCATAAAGTCAAGTAAATGAAGTATTATTTGAAAATGTGTGCATGGTTATTTCATTACATAAAGGTCAAAAGGAGGGTACATTTATTATTTAGGAAAACACACCTAAGATATCTTTGTAAAATCTGTAAAATCAATAGTACTGTTTCCCCTCTTTCATTCCTTATCTTGAAAATGCTTGTCTCTTTTTCTGCCATGGCTTTCTACCTTGCTTGATATATTACAATTTTGTAACCTGCTTATTTCATCATATGTCATAAGTTCACATGTATATCCCATGAATTATTGAGGGTCTTATTCATTTCAAGTGGCATTTAGGTTTTTAAAAATATCTTTTGGCGACCAGGTGCAGTGGCTCATGCCTGTAATCCCAGCACTTTGGGAAGCCAAGGCAGGTGGATCACGAGTTCAAGAGACAGAGATCATCCTGGCGAACATGGTGAAACCCCGTCTCTACTAAAAATACAAAAAAAAAAAAAAAAATAGCTGGGCATGGTAGAGGGTGCCTGTAGTCCCAGCTTCTCAGGAGGCTGAGGCGGGAGAATGGCATGAACCCGAGAGACGGAGGTTGCAGTGAGCCGAGATCGTGCCACTGCACTCCAGCCTGGCAACAGAGTGAGACTCTGTCTCAAAAAAAAAAAAAAAAGAAAGAAAGAAAGGAAGAAAAAAAAATCTTCTGGCATTAACTATTAAGAAATTGCACTATAAAAAGAGAATATAATGCATAAGACGGCAATTTGAAAAGATTCAGATATAATTTTTTCTTATCTAGTAAATACTTAGTAATTTGTCTAATGCATGCCTTAAATACATACCACTTTATGCAGAGGTTGCCATGAGCCGAGATCGCGCCGTTGCACTCTAGCCTGGGTGGCAGAGCAAGACTCCATCTCAAAAAAAAAAAAGAAAATCTCACAGAAGGAGACCCAGAGCTTCCAGCCTCGCCCAGAGTCTTGGCTCACTCCCTGTGTGTGTGGACCCTAGGGAGCCTCTTCTGTTCCCCACAGAGGTGGAAACTTCCTCCTTAATAACCCCTTGATGGTCCCAGGCACTGGTGACCACTGAGCTTTGCTCTCTCTTTTTTCTTATGGTTCCCTGTCTACTTCCAGGGCTATCACTTTACTTTTTGTGCATTAGACCATGAATAATGTTTTAGAAACATTCTATCAAATTTCTCAGTGCTAGGAACAACTGAGGTTTTTGATTGGGTGCCTCAAATGTCTACCCTTACTGTGGAGTCCGACAACAGGATTCTAACAAGTCCCAACCCCTTCATGCCTTAACCTGGTCTGGAAATAAATTATGTTTAAGCCATCCCATACCCCAGCCACATCAAGCCCCACAACCACTCTGAGAAGTGAGATTTATAGCAAAATGCTCCAAACAAGGTAACTAAGGTTCAGACAAGGGATGTTAATGTGTCCATTTACATAAACAAAAAATGGTAGATGATCAGCTTTCCCTTTGAAATCAGAGTACTAATCTGACTCATTGTTCCCTGAATTTTAGAGGCAGGACCTCAGGAGGAGCTAAGAATCCTACCCCAGGAAAATTACCAATATCAGAAAGGAAACAATGACATCAGTACAGATCCTACAGAATTCAAAAGATTCTAAGTGGACATTATGAAGACATTATTCAGCTTAGATGAAGTGGTCACATATCACAAGAAAACAAACTGTCTAAAACAATCTCTGAAATACCTAGACATTCCCTGAATCATTGAGTTATTAAATAAAATACATTTTAAAATTAAACTCTTTTCAGGAAATAAACTTCAATGTCCCCTAGTGCACTCTCCAAAACATGTAGATAGGAATAAATACTGTTCTGAAAGACATTTCCCTGGAATTACAACCATTCAATATATTTTAAAAGGCAATCATAAAAATATAAAAAGGATATATCAGGAGAAGAAATGTAAATGGCCTAAATTCCCCACATAAAAGGCATAGAGTGGCAACGTGGATAAAAAGCCAAGAGCCAACTGCCTGCTGTCTTCAAGAGACCCATCTCACATGTAATGACACCCACAGGCTCAAAGTAAAAGGATGAAGAAATATTTACTAGGCAACCAGGAAACAAAAAAAAGGAAGGCATTCCTATTCTTATATCACATGAAACACACTTTAAATCAACAGCAATCAGGAAGGACAAAGAAGGGCATTACAAAATGATAAAGGGTTCAATTTGACAGAAGACTTAACTATTCTAAATATATATGCACCCAAATTTGGAGCACTCCGATTCATAAAACAAGTTATTCTTCACCTATGAAAAGAGTTAGACAGCCACACAATAATAGTAAGGGACTTCAGTATCCCACTAACAACGTCAGATGAATCACTAAAACAGAAAACTAACAAAGAAATTCTGGTCTTAAAGACAACACTTGACCAATTGGACCTCATAGACATCTACAGAGTACTCCACCCAACAACTGCAGAATATAGATTCTTCTTATCTGCACACACAAAAAACATATCATATTCTAAGACTGGCCACAAAGCAAGTCTCAATAAATTCAAAGAATCAAAATCATAACAAGGCACACAATAAAAATAGAAAAAAATACCAAGATGATCTCTCAAAACTACAGAAAAACATGGAAATTTAACAACTTGTTTCTGAATGAATATTAAGAGCCATCTATGACAAATCCACAGCCAACATCATATTGAATGGTCAAAAGCTGGAACTGTACCCCTTGAGAACTCTTGGGTGAACAATGAAATTAAAGCAGAAATCACAAAACATTATTTAAAATTAATAAAAATAGAAACAAACTTACCAAAACCTTTGGGATGCAGTTAAAGCAGTGATAAGAGGAAAATTTATAGCAATACATGCCTCATCAGAAGTTTAGAAAGATCTCAAATTAGTGACTTAACACTGCATCTAGAGGAACTATTAAAAAAAAGGAACAGTCCAAACCCAAGGCCAGCAAAAGATGAGAAATAACTAAAGTCAGAGAGAACTGAATAAATTGAGACCAAAAAGTCCATACAAGAGATAAATAAAACCAAGAGTTTTTCTTTGAAAAAAAATAAACAAAATTCATAGACTGTTAGCTAGATTAACAAAGAAAAAGAGAAAAGATCCAAATAAACACAAATAGAACTGACAAAACAATGTTACGAACAATCCCACAGAAATAGAAAAGATCGTCAAAGACTATTATGAACACCTCTATACAAACAAGCTAGAAAACCTAGAAGAAATGGATAAATTCCTGGTAACACAAAATTTATCATATTTCAACCAGGAAGAAAGTGAAAACCTGAACAGACCAATAACAAGTTCAGAAATTTAATCAGTAATAAAAACCCTACTAACTAAAAATAGCCCAGGACCAGACGGATTCACAGCCAAAATCCAACAGCCATACAAAGAAGAACTGATACCGATCTTACTGAAACTTTTGGAAAAAATCAAGGAGTGGGGGCTTCTTCCTAACTCATTCTATGAAGCCATCATCACCATGATACCAACATCTGTCAGAGACATAATGAAAAAAAGAAAACTACAACTAAATATCCTTAATGAACATAGACATAAAATCCTCAACAAAATGCTAGCAAATTGAATCTGTCAGTGCATCAAAAGTTAATTCACATGATCAAGTAAGCTTTATTTTTGGGATGCAAGGTTGGTTCAACCTACAAAGTCAACGAATGTGATTCACCTCATAAACATAATTAAAAACAAAAACTATATGATCATCTCAATAGATGCAAAAAAAGCTTTCTGTAAAATCCAACATCCCTTCATGATAAAAACTGTCAATAGGCATCAAAGGAACATACCTCAAAATATTAAGAGCCATCTATGACAAACCCACAGCCAACATCATATTGATGGGCAAAAGCTGGAACCATACCCCTTGAGAACCGAAACAAGACCAAGATGACCACTCCCGCCATTTTAATTCAACATGGTACTGGAAGTCCTAGCCAAAGCAATCAGGCAAGAGAAGGAAATAAAAGGCATTAAAATTGGAAAAGAAGTAGTGATACTGTCTCTCTTTGCTGATGAAATAATTTTATACATAGAAAACCCTAAAGACTCTGTCAGAAGGCTCCTGAAACTGATAAACAAATTCAATAAAGTTTCGGGATTAAAAAAATGTACACAAATTAGTAACATTTCTATGCACCACTAACATTCTAGCTGAGAACTAAATCAAGAACACAATTCCATTTACACTAGCCACAAAGAAAATAAAATACCTAGGAATCCATCTAACCAAGAAGGTGAAAATTCTCTACAAGGAGAACTACAAAACACTTCTGAAAGAAATAAGAAATGATACAAACAAATGGAAGAATATTCCATGCTCATGAATTAGGAGAACAAATAGTTAAAATCGCCATACTTCCAAAAACAAATTGCAGAGTCAATGCTATCCATTTCAAAATGCAATGTCATTTTTCACGAAATTATAAAAATTTATTCTAAAATGTATTTGGCACCAAAAAAAGAGCCTGAATACACATAGGAATCCTAAGCACAAAGAACAAAGCCCAGGCATCACATTACCCAACTTCAAACTATACTACAATGCTATAGTAACCCAAACAGCATGATACTACTACAAAAACAGACACATAGACCAATGAGACAGAATAGAGAACCCAGAAATGAGGCTACATACCTACAATCATCTTTGAAAAAATTGACAAAAACAAGCAATGTGGAAAGTACCCTTTCTTCAATAAATAGTTCTGGGATAACTGACTACTCATATGCAAAATAATAGAACTGGACCCCTAACTCTCACTATATACAAAAATTAACCCAAGATAGTTTAAAGATTTAAATGTAAAACCTCAAAATATTAAAATTCTAGAAGAAAACCTAGGAAATATCCTTCTCAAGATAGACTTTGGCAAAGAATTTATGGCTAACTCCCCAAAACCAATTGTGACAAAGACAGAAATTGGGACCTAACTCAACTGAAGAGCTTCTGCACAGCAAACGAAAGTATCAACAGAGTAAACAGATAACCTACAGACTGGGAGAAAATATTTGCAAACTATGCATCTGACAAAGTTCTAATATCCAGAATCTATAAGGAATGTAAACAAATCAACAAGCAGAAAACCAAAAAACCTCAATTAAGTATGACATGAACAGACACTTCTCAAAAGAAGATGTACACATGGCCAAAAAACATATGAACAAATGCTTATTATCAGTAATCATCAGAGAAATGCAAATTAAAACCACAGTGAGATACCATCTCACAACAATCAGAGAAGCAGAAGCAATTACTAAAAAGTTTTTTGTTTTTTTTAATAACAGATGCTGACAAGATTGTGGAGAAAAGGGAACACTTATACACTCTTGGTGGGAATGTTAACTAGTTCAGCCAATGTGATAAGCAGTTTGGAGACTTCTCAAATAACTTAAAATAGAACTACTATTCAATCAAGCAATCCCACTACTGGGTATATACCAAAAGGAAGGTAATTAACTATGTCAAAAAGACACATGCACTAGTATATTCATTGCTGTGCAATTCAGAATAGCAAAGATTTGCAGTCAACCTAAGTGCTCACCAACAGTGGATTAGTTAAAGAAAATGTGCTACATATACACATGGAACATTACATGGCCATAAAAAATAATGAAATCATGTCCTTTGCAGCAACATGAATGTAGCAGGAGGTCAATCTCCTAAGTGAACTAACCCAGGAACAGAAAACCAAATACCACATGTTATCACTTATAACTGAGAACCAAACATTGAATACACATGAACATAAAGATGGAAACAACAGATACCGAGGACTACAGATGGGGGGAGGAGTAGGGAGGTATAGGCTGAAGAAACACCTGTTGGATTCTATGCTCATTGCCTGGGTGATGGCATTGTTGGAACCACAAACCTCAGAGTCACACAATATGCCTATGTAACAAACCTGCATGCATACCTTTAATCTACAGTAAAGGTTGAAGTTATTTAAAAATAGGAAGAAGAATTACCCTATACCTAAAGCTAAGATTTTTCCCTTTGAATATTCGTTTCTTCATCACTGTAGATAAGCAGGGAAAGAAAAATTATTATACTATACTAGCCTTTTATGTGACCATGAGGATTTGGGGTAGGTAGGTGGACAGCTTAGATAATTCACCAGGATATTGATACAGGCTCCATGGCTGGAAATAACCAAGGATGAGTGCTGTGTTTTGAGTGGTCTCCCCCAGAAACGTTTGTTGAAATCCTAACCCCTGGTATGTATGAATGTGAATTCATATTATATAAAAAGGAATAAATAGCCTGAGCACAGTGGCTCACACCTGTAATCCCAGCACTTTGGGAGGCCAAAGCAGGTGGATCATTTGAGGTCAGGAGTTCTGGCCAATATGGCAAAACTTCATCTCTACAAAAAAAAAATACAAAAAAAAAAATTGGCTGGGTATGGTGGCGCATGCCTGTAGTCCCAGCTACTCAGGAGGCTGAGGCAGGAATTGCTGAAACCTGGAAGGCAGAGGTTGCAGTGAGCCAAGATCATGCCACTGCACTCCAGCCTGGGTGAGACGGCAAGATATTCTGTCAAAAATAAATAAATAAAAAACAGAAGAAGAAATACAAGAATGACAGCAAACTTTGTATTCAAAACTATGAAAGTAAGAAACAGGTGGACCAACATTTTTAAAGTGCTACAAGAAAATATTTCAAACTAGAATCTTTCAACCTGAAAAGGAAAACATTTTCCTGCAATAAAGGTGCCATTAAAAATGTCTCACAATTTATTACATGAAGCATTGTTCTACAATAAATGTTAAGCTCTTGAAGCAAAGATTAATGATACCATTTAGTAACTTGAAATTCAAAAAAGTGGAAGTATCCCAAGAGGCAAATACGTGTGCAATTATTAAATGTTTCATATCAACACCCAACCTTATGCTGTCTACATAAGCTGCACTTCAAATACTAATCCACAAGATGTAAATATTGAAAGAATGACATTACCTTGTCATGATAATGCCCAGTGCAAAATATGCTTCTAGTCAGTTGTATACATAGAATAGGTAAATGTTTGTAATAAAAAGTATTCCTCAATAGAAGTTTCTTAACTCAAAGAATGAAATATTTCACCATGCACATACAAAGAAGAGATATATGGAGATATGAAGAGGAGTACTTCATAATGACAAAGAGGCAAATTCATAAATAAGACATAATCATCCTAAATGCCTACACACTTAAAGCTGGAACCTCAAAACACATTAAATTAAAGGCATAATTCAAAACATAATCAATCACATCCAAATTGCAGCTAGAGATAGCAACATTCACCTCACTTCCAGAACAAGTACACAGAAAATTATTAAGCATATGAAAGACTTGAAAAACATTTGTGTAGGCGGCGGGTGCATAAGGTTGGGTGTTGATATGAAACATTTAATAATTTCAATAATCCTAGCACTTTGGGAGGCCAAAATGGGAGGATCACTTGAGGCCAGGAGTTTGAGACCAGCCTGGGCACCATAGTGAGACCCCGTCTCTATTTTTTTTAAATAAAGAAAAACATTTGAATGATTTTTTTCTTAACTGACATTTAGAAAACATCCACCTCAAATCTTCCTAATCCACAAACTTGTCTAGCACCCCTGGAACATTCACCAAAATAAATTTTTAAATGCTGAATCATAGGTAATATGATAGATGAAACAGTTGAATTAAATTATAAATGTACAACAAGGAAATGCTGGGGAAATTATCAAATATTTTAAAATTAATAAACACACATAGCAATAAACAATGAGTGGAAGAAAAACATTTCAAAGAAAGGTGGAAAATATTTTGTATCAATTAAAAATGAAAACACATCTCGGCAAATGACTGGGGATACAGATAGAACAGCGTTAAGGGACAATAAGCCTCAAATGTCTGTGTTAGAAAAGAAGGAAGAGCTGAGTAAATAGGTAACTTTCACTTGCAGAAATACTACACATCAGCAAATTAATTCCAAAGTAACGTCGAGGAAAAACATAAAATGGCAAGCAAATATATACGTGCATATGTACATACATTCATAAATGACAAACAGGACAGAAAAATCAGTGACATCAATTTTGTTCCTTAGAAGAAACAGGAAAATTGACCCCAAAAAACTTTCCAGGCCACATTTGGTCATGATGGAAATATTTTGGCACTTCCTGGTTAAGCTCAACACCAACTTGCACCCAAAACCAATAATTTCATTTCTAGGTAAATATGTCTAATTAATTCAGCATATGTATGCAAGGGATCACACAGAAACACGATTATCAAGGCCCGAGTTATAAAAGAGAAAATCCGGAAACAACACAAATGTCCATGATAAAAAGAATGGATAATTACATGTTGATAAAGTTATGCATGGACTATTAAACTGCAATCCAAAAGAATAAAATAGAGCTATAAAATTCAATATGTATATGGTGTCATAGAAACACAAATGTGAGAAAAAGAAAGAAAAATACAAAATTTATATTTTTTAAAATTTGAAACAACTATATATGTGAGTGCTTAGGGTGTGTGTGTGTGTGTGTGTGTGTGTGTATAACCATATGTATATAAATGCACACATACGCACACATATAGAATGTCCCGGCCAGGCATGGTGGCTCACACCTGTAATCTCAGCACTTTGGGAGGCTGAAGTAGACAGATCACTTGAGGTTAGGAGTTCAAGACCAGCCTGGCCAACATGGAGAAACCTCCTCTCTACTAAAAGTACAAAAATTAGGTGGGCGTGGTGGTGGGTGCCTGTAAATCCAGCTACTTAGGAGGCTGAGGCACGAGAATTGCGTGAACCTGGGAGGTGGAGGCTGCAATGAGCCGAGGTCTCACCACTGCATTCCAAACTGGGTGACGAAGTGAGATTGCATCTCAAAAAAAAAAAAAGTTCTAAAAGTTGTGACTTGGGTGTGGCAGATTGTGACATACTGCCAGCTGCTAGAAATGCTGGGGCAGGAGGATTGCTTGAACTCTGAAGTCAAAGAACAGCCTGGGGAAAATAGCACATGAAGAAGAGTTTGAATCTCAGATAAAAACAACAAAAATACATCAAAAGTCTTTAATGTAAGCCAAGCATTCAGTCATCTCCTGTATGAGAGATTGGATCTGAGACGTGTTTTGAGTTGGTTATAGTGAAGGATGCAAGGTGTCAATTCTAGTTGGAACAATTTCCAGGAAGCCATGTTCTGCTCTTGACCAAACAGCCACTGGGCCTCATGCAAGGTAGAAATAGCCTGCATACGTCATCCTCCCATGATGTGGTCAGCATGTAAACTGCATGAGCCCCTCACAACATCCTGTGTGCTGCTGAACTGAGCTGGGGCGCAGCCGCCTGTCTGCACCGGCAGCACCATGTCGCTCATGGTCGTCAGCATGGCGTGTGTTGGTGAGTCCTGGAAGGGAATCGAGGGAGGGAGCGGTGGGGTGGAGATCTGGGCCTGGAGTGGAGATATGGGCCTGGAGTGGAGATATGGGCCTGGAGTGGAGATATAGGCCTGGAGTGGAGATATGGGCCTGGGGTGGAGATATGGGCCTGGAGTGGAGATATGGGCCTGGAACTGTAGATATGGGCCTGAAGTAGAGATATGGGCCTGGAGTAGAGATATGGGCCTGGAACTGTAGATATGGGCCTGGAGTGGAGATATTGGCTTGGAGTGCAGATATGGACCTGGAATTGAGATACGGGCCTGGAGGTGGAGATATGGGCCTAGAGTGGAGATATGGGCCTGGAGGTGGAGATATGGGCCTGGAACTGTAGATATGGGCCTGGAGTAGAGATATGGGCCTGGAGTGGAGATGTTGGCTTGGAGTGCAGATATGGGCCTGGAATGGAGACACGGGCCTGGAGGTGGAGATACAGGCCTGGAGGTGGAGATATGGGCCTGGAGTGTAGATATGGGCCTGGAGTAGAGATATAGGACAGAGGTGGAGATATAGGCCTGGAGTGGAGATATGGGCCTGGAGTAGAGATATAGGACGGAAGTGGAGATATGGGCCTGGAGTGGAGATATGGGCCTGGAGGTGATGTACAGATGGATCATCCATCATGATCTTTCTTTCCAGGGTTCTTCTTGCTGGAGGGGCCCTGGCCACATGTGGGTGAGTCCTTCCCCCAAACCTTAGGTTGTCATCTCCCCACATAAGATGATGTTCCTGAAACGGGAGGCAGGCGACACAGGGGGTTGACTGATGGGCTGACCATGGGAAGCCATGTGGGAATCTCTCATGAACTAGGAAAAGGAAGCCAGGGGAAGCTTCGCCACAGTTCTGTCCTAGCCCTCCCCGGCCTTTCTTTCCCTTGGCTGAGTCTGTGGGGACCCAGGGGGAGACTGAAGTGCTCAAAGGAGTGGTGTGCAGGGAGGAAGTGGTGTCACCGGCAGAGGAAGGGAGAGAAGCAGTGCAAGGAACAACAGGCCTCTGAGGACAAGAGCATAACTCACACCCTCCAGCGTTTCCATGACGGTAGGGGCTGCAATGTGGCTGCTGTCATTCTACCTAAGAGGTGGGGGAACCACAGTCATGACCCTGACATTCCAGATCTTCTAATAGGGGCTCAGTTGTTTATTATGGTTCATGCATTAGCTGATCATGCCCTCCATCCTGTGTCTACCTTGTGTTCTTTTATGTAAGTAATTTTGCAGTGTTAAAATCTAGTAAGAGTCGCTTCTTCAGCACCTGCTCAAAGTTCTCAGCTGACACTTGCTGTAGGGAGACGCCATGTCTATGCGGGATGGGTCCTTCCTGTAGCCCTGGGCACCCAGGTGTGGTAGGAGCCTTAGAAACGTGGAAATGGGAGAATCTTCTGAGCACAGGGAGGGAGGGGCGGCTCCACATCCTCCTCTCTAAGGTAGTGCCTCCTTCTCCCCCAGGTGGTCAGGACAAGCCCTTCCTCTCTGCCTGGCCCGGCACTGTGGTGTCTGAAGGACAACATGTGACTCTTCAGTGTCGCTCTCGTCTTGGGTTTAACGAATTCAGTCTGTCCAAAGAAGACGGGATGCCTGTCCCTGAGCTCTACAACAGAATATTCCGGAACAGCTTTCTCATGGGCCCTGTGACCCCAGCACATGCAGGGACCTACAGATGTTGCAGTTCACACCCACACTCCCCCACTGGGTGGTCGGCACCCAGCAACCCTGTGGTGATCATGGTCACAGGTCAGAGGCTTTCTGTCTGGGCTTCTCACTGTCCCACCTCCTGAATCCCAGAGCTTCTGGTGGGGGTGTCCATCAGGGTCCAATCATCCAGGCCCAGACTGTATTTGGGGTAAAGGGGGATTCAGTACAGAGAAATAGTTGCTGTGGTGGGAAGAATAATTGTCCCCAGTGATGGCTACATGGTAATCCATGAACCCTGTGACTATTTATGTCATAGGGCAGGGGACTGAAGGGGAAGATGGAGCTCAGGTTGTTGATGGGTTGACCTTGCGATGGGGAGACAGCCTGGACTGTCCTGCTGTGCTCAGAGTAATCACAAGGGTCCTCATGAGAGGAGGAGGAAGAGGAAAGTGGGGTTAGAGCAACGTCGTGGGAGGGAGACTCCATCAGCCACAGCGGGCTTTGAAGATGGGGGAAGGCCATGAGCCACAAAGGCAGTTGGCCTCTAAGGGCTGGAGAAGTCAAGGGAACTGATTCTTCCCTGAGTCTCCAGAGGAAACACAGCCCTGTAGATGCCTTGATTTTAGCCCAGAGAGAACTGGGTCCGATTTCTGTTCTCCAGAAGTGGAAGGGGTCATTGTATTCTCTCTTGCCCCATGTTTGTGACAATTTTCTCCAGCAGCAACAGGAAACCAACACAGGAACCCAGGTGAAGCACAAGTTAAGAAACCAAACAAGGAGAAGGTTGGCTACACTGATTTTAGCATGGGTGGGATACTGATGCTACCACCAGGCTCGATCCACATAGGGAGGGGTTGATGCTCCTGGAACCAGCACCAGGGGCCACCCTATGGAAGCTGGGGCCATGGAGAAGGCACAGACATGACAGGAGAGGCTCCCAATCCCCATCAGGAACAGGGACACTGATGCCTGCCTTACTGATGAGTTCGTACCTCCTGCCAGCCTTTCCAATCTGTCCAAAAGAGATTGATTCAGGCTGCTAAGAGCCTGGACATGCAGCCTGTCGTGGTTCCTCTTCCACCCCCACATAAACACCAGGAAAGAGATTAGTGGGAAACAGATACAACAGCATAAGAGGTGACACTGAGCACAGTGGGAAGGGAATCAGGGCTACTAGAGACAGAGAGACAGGGAAGAGGGAGGGAGACAGATGGAGGGACCTGCAACAGGGGTTATGGGCACAAAAGAACACGGAGACACAGAGAGGAAGGAGAGAGATAGACACCATGGAGGGGAAGCCTCACTTATTTCAGGTCCCATGAATGGGATGAGAAAGGGAGACGCCTTCTGAACTCACAACCTCTCTTCTTAGGAGTCCACAGAAAACCTTCCCTCCTGGCCCACCCAGGTCCCCTGGTGAAATCGGGAGAGACGGTCATCCTGCAATGTTGGTCAGATGTCAGGTTTGAGCGCTTCCTTCTGCACAGAGAGGGGATCACTGAGGACCCCTTGCGCCTCATTGGACAGCTCCACGATGCGGGTTCCCAGGTCAACTATTCCATGGGTCCCATGACACCTGCCCTTGCAGGGACCTACAGATGCTTTGGTTCTGTCACTCACTTACCCTATGAGTTGTCGGCTCCCAGTGACCCTCTGGACATCGTGGTCGTAGGTGAGAGAATACAGACCTGCCTCTCACCCTTGCTGGGAGATGGAGTGAATGATCTAGGACTGGAAGCCCCAGGTGGTCATGAGGAAGATGAGTGTGGGGTTCCTATGGAGAGAAAGTGACTTGGTGAGGTCTGTACCAACAAAGGCAGAGAAACAGGAGACACAAGTACAGACCTCATGTCATAACATAGAAGCCAGACACAGGGGCCATACAAGGTGTTAGAAAAAGAGATAAAGAGGTAAAGAAGACACAGAGAGACAGATATATCCCAGAGAGAGGTGTCCTTCTATGCTGACTTTGTTCAGAGACCAGGCACAGGTTAGAAGGTTCCATTCTGTTTTACCTCTACAAAGTGTTCTCTCCCAGGAGAACCCAAAGAGACACATCTATCTGGCCTGAGTTGGGCCGTGTGGCCCCAGGCTGGTGGCACCTACAGATGCTGTGTTTATTCTTAAACCTCTGCCTTCCGTGCAGTGGAGCTGTCGTCGTCGCAGGACACCATGGCCCCAGGTGAGGGAGCAGAACACCAACCCCTGTATGTTGTGAGTTCCTGGAGTCCCCATACTGGATTCTGAGGCTCATATTCAAATAGCACCACATGTTATAGGATTACTGAGAACAAAAGCCCACAGAGAGACACGGAGTGAAATCAGGGAAATCAAAAAGCAAAGACATGAACACACACACAGAATGAGCCAGAAGAAGGGAATTGAGAGACTCACAGACACATAAAGAGATAGAAAAAGAGGGCAGAGAAGTGGAGCGTATGATGGAAGGAAGCAGAGAAAAGCCCTAAAATCAGAGCCCTGAGGGAGGGGCACAAAGACAGGGAAAGATAAAGATGTGGGGATGGATTGCAGAGACTCCAAAAGGGAACTAGAGAGACTGAGAGGCAGAGAAAGACAAGGAGATGGAGAGAGACAGATGATAGATGGATAGATAGATATAGATAGATGAAAGATAAAAGGTAGATGATAGATAATAGAGAGACAGGTGATAGACAAATAGATGATGAATGACTGATAGATGATATAGATAGACAAGTAGAAAGACAGACAGATGATATATAAATAGATATAGAGAGATAGAAAGATAAACACATGATGATAGATGGATAGATGCATACATACATACATTGATTGATAGATGATAGATAACAGAGAGATAGGTCATAGATACACAGATGATGATAGATGATAGATACATACATAGATAAATGATAGATCGATCAATAGATAGTAGATAGAAATATGCAGAAAGTTATGAGCAAGACAGAAAGTGAGAGACTCAGAATTAAAGAAAGAGGAAGATCAAGTCAACCAGTCCAAGGAGGGTCAGAGAGAATAAAATGGTACAAAAAAAGAAAACATAGCTAGGGATGGAGAAGTGAGGTCAGAGACCTAGAGAGACAGAGAAGGTGGAAGGAGGAAATAGACATGAAGAGAGATGGGGGTGGAGGGTGAGAGAGAGAAAGAGAGCATTAAGTCATAGAGCAGGGGAGTGAGTTCTCAGCTCAGGTGTGAGGAGAGCTGTGACAACGAAGAACCTCCCTGAGGAAACCACCTCTTCTCCTTCCAGGTCTATATGGGAAACCTTCTCTCTCAGCCCAGCCGGGCCCCACGGTTCAGGCAGGAGAGAATGTGACCTTGTCCTGCAGCTCCCGGAGCTTGTTTGACATTTACCATCTATCCAGGGAGGCAGAGGCCGGTGAACTTAGGCTCACTGCGGTGCTGAGGGTCAATGGAACATTCCAGGCCAACTTCCCTCTGGGCCCTGTGACCCACGGAGGGAACTACAGATGCTTCGGCTCTTTCCGTGCCCTGCCCCACGCGTGGTCAGACCCGAGTGACCCACTGCCCGTTTCTGTCACAGGTGAGAAAACACCATGCCTGTCCCATGTCTTGTGATCCTAGAGCCATAGCTGAGGAGCTTCCTGCTGATGATGGAGAGAAGCATGGACAGATGCCGAGACAGAACACACAGCATGGGTGTAAGGGCGGGGTCAGGGGGCAGGATGGCAGACAGGGCACCTCCAAACCCTCCTGTATGGCCTGCAAGGAGGCCCTTGATCAGGGTTCCAGGCACCCAGGCAGATGGAGAAAGAGGTCAGAACAGACCCAGAGGAGGGAGACTGGGCTCTGCCTGGGGAGATCAGAGGTTCTCTCAGCCCCTCAACCTTACCCACTTCCCAGAAGCCCATCCTGGCCTGTCACCCACAGAGAGATGTCATCACCAGCAACGCCTACACCCTTTTCTTTTTGTTTGAAGAAATATTTATTGAGGTGAAATATACCTATGTAATTTACCACCTTTACCATTTTTAAGTGTGAAGTCTACTGTTCATAAATACATTTATAGGCTGGGCACGGTGGCTCACTGTTGTAATCCCAACACTTTGAGAGGCCAAGGCAGGTGGATCATTTGAGATCAGGGGCTCAAGACCACCCTGGCCAACATGGGGAAAATCCATCTGTACTAAAAATACAAAATAATAATAATAATGATAATAATTAGCCGAGCATGGTGGCACATGCCTGTAGTCCCAGCTACTTGGGAGGGTTGGGCAGGAGTTGCACTTAATTGCAGGAGGCGGAGGTTGCAGTGAGCTGAGATCATGCCACTGCACTGCAGCCTGGGCAACAGAGAGAGACACTCTCTCAAAATTAATTAATTAATTAATTAGTATTCTTTTTTTTTTACCCTCCACCCTTCCCTTCCTGGCCTCTGGTAGCCACCATTCTACTCTCTACCTTTGTGAGATCCACCTTTTAGCTCCTGCATATGAGTGAGAAATGGAAATACTTGTAATGACCTCCAGTTCCATTCATGTGGCTGTAAATGACAGGATGTTACTCTTTCTATGGATGAGTTGTCCCTATTGTGTGTGTGTACCACATTCTCTCCATCCATTCACCCACTGATGGGCAGGTAGGTTGATCCACATCTTGGCTACTGTGAACACTGCTGGAACAGTCATGGGAGTGCAGATGTCACTTCGATACGCTGATGTCCTTTCCTTTGGGTTTACACCCAGTCATGGAATTGCTAGATCCTCTGGAAGTGTCTTTTTACATTTTGTTTTATGGTTTTTGTTTTTGTTTTTGTTTTTTTTAGACAGTTTCACTCTTGTTGCCCAGGCTGGAGTGCAGTGGTGCCATCTGGGCTCACTGCAACCTCCACCTCCAGGATTCAAGAGATTCCCCAGCCTCAGCCTCCCAAGTAGCTGGGTTACTGGCTCCCACCACCACACTCGGCTAATTTTTATATTTTTAGTAGAGACAGAGTTTCGCTATATTGGCCAGGCTGCTCTTCAACTCCTGACCTCAAGTGACCTACCCACCTCGGCCTCCCAATGTGCTGGGATTACAGGCATGAACCACTGTGCCCGACCTCATTTTATTTTTTGAGGAACTTCCATACTCTTCTCCTCTGTAATGGCTGTACTAATTTGCATTCGTATCAGCAGTGTACCAGATGCAACCCTGGTTGACTCAGCAGAGCAAGAGACGTGCAGTAAGAGAGAATTTAGCTTATTTATGCACACGACACTTCCACTCACTCACTCGTTCAGCCAATGCCCCATGCTCTGGCTGTGCAGTGTGGAATCTTTTCCTATTGTTGCCATAACAAATTTCCACAAGCTTCGTGGATGAAAACATGTTTTTCTTAATTATCTCACAGTGCTGTAACTCAGAAGTATGAACTGCATTTCACTGGGCTGATATCAAAGGGACAGTAAGGCTGGATTTCTTTTTAAGGTTCCAAGCAAGAATCTGCTCCTTAACGTTTCCCAGCTCCTAGAGGCTCCCACGTTCCTGGGCCCCTGGTCCCCTTCCTCCTTCCTCCTTCCTCAAAGCCCACAAAGGCTGGTCACGTCTCACATGGCATCATTCAGACTCTTCTTCTTTACCCATACCTTTTTCTCTGAATCCTGCTCTGCCTTCTTCCTCATCTTTTAAGGACTTTGGGATTCTATTGGGGTCACCAAGATAATCCATCTCAATCTCCCTAAAATCATCCAGCGTACCCTCTTTTTAAGTTCAGCTGATTAGCAACCGTAATGCCATCTGCAATCTTCATTCCTCCTTTCCTGTAAAATAACATATTCACAAGCTATGGAGGCTAAGACAGGGACATTTTGGGGGTGGGGCAGCATTCTCCTGCCTTCCACAAATGGTAAACAGGATGCATTTGGCCTCTGCTCTTGGGACGCTGATATTGCAGATGGGTAAATGCGAGGGCAGAGAATGAATGCACAAGGGTACCAATAAATGAATGATCCATTGGGAAGCATCTGTGCACCAAATCTGGGGTTTTTTGTGTGTGTGTGTGTTTTTTGTTTTCTTTTTTTTTTTTGAGTAGAGTCTCTCTCTGTTCCACAGGCTGGAGTGCAGTAGCACAATCTCAGCTCATTGCAACCTCTGCCTCCTGGGTTCATGCAATTCTCCTGCCTCAGCCTACCGAGTAGCTGGGATTACAGCTGTGCGCCACCACACTCGGCTAATTTTTTTGGTATATTTTTTAGTAGAAATGAGGTTTCACCATGTTGTGCAGGCTGTCTCAAACTCCCAATCTCAAGTGATCCCACCGCCTTAGCGTCCCTAAGTGCAAAGATTACAGGCGAGAGCTACTGCGCCCAGCCAGGATTTAAAATAAGTAATAGATAATGCTGAGTATATAATTTCAGGTGACAGAGAAGGTCTCACTGATCAGATAATATTTGTGACCTTAATGGAAAAAATGGATTCAACCCTTGGAAGATTGGCGGAAGGATTTTCCACACTGAGCTCTCAGCCGTGAAGGCACAAAGGTGGAAACATTCTTAGTTCAAGGAAGAGGCTCTGCCTCAAATGCTGGGAATGAGATGGGGAGAATGACAAGACAACTGTAGAGAGATGGAGAGCACACTGGGTACACAGGAAACTAAGGAGGAACAAGGAGCATGTTTTTGATACTCACAGCCCTTGGATTCAACTCAGAGCTAACTAGGAATCCCTACCTGATTAACAGTGACCGACATGAAAATAAGGGAGGCCCAGGTGCGTAACTGGAATCTAGGAGACCGTGGAAAAGGCAATTCCCGCCCCACTGGTGAAACGTAGGGTTGATTTACACACTAAATGAATGAAAGATGGATATAAGCTATGCTTGTGAGGTAGAATCATTTGCAGGGAGGGCTTGCTGGGTTTGATTTTTCCTAGTAGTTTAATCCTTGTTTCATTAATTTCTTTCTGAGATGTGTTTTTTTTCTACATCTAAATCAATACCTGGCAGAGGAGCGATAGACACATGAGGGGTGGTGCAAATGAAGGGACCTAGTATAATATAATATACAAGACTGTGGATGGGGGCTCACACCTGTAACCCAACACTTTGGGAGGCCAAGGCGGGTAGATCACTTAAGGGTAGGAGTTTGAGACCAGCCTGGCCAACATGGTGAAACCCCGTCTGTACTAAAAATACAAAAATTAGCCTGGTGCATTGGCACCTGCCTGTAATCCCAGCGACTGGGGAGGCTGAAGCAGAAGAATGGCTTCAACCCTGGAGGCAGAGGTTGAACTGAGATCGCATCACTGCACTCCAGCCTGACACAGGGGGACTCTGTCTCAAAAAATAAAAATAAAACATACATAATTATGACACACAGAAATTACAAAGGCAACTGGATACCAACCATCATTTTTCTATTTCTCTGTGTTTAATTCTTTGACCCTTTATCTTATCCATTAAACAATCAGGTTAAACCTCTTCCTTATTTGGCTTTCTGTGAGCTTGGGATCATATGGAAAATGTGAAAGCCTCCTGAACCCACCAGCACAGGTCCTGGAATAGAGAACGTGCTCTGTTCATGGCATAAAACTTGCCCCTTCACCCAAATCCCCCAATTCATCTCTACTTCCAATCACCTATGGAGATACAGATAGATCATGGGGAGGTAAACACTAATACTCTTTGGAGTGAGCTCAGATCTTGGACTCAGAGACCAGTGCCAGCACTAGCCCCTGGTCACATTTCGTACTAACTCACAGAAGGACAGGCTGTATTGAAACAATAAACGACGGAGAGGGCGGTCCTTCCCCGTGCTTCTCGGGTGGAATAGCAGCCTAATATATGTCTCAGCAGATCACAAAAAGTAGCATGTTGTTCCTGGGCTACATCATTATTTCATGGCTGTTTGATTTAAGTCAGTTCTACTTCACTTTTTTTATCTTGATTTCATTTTTTCTTTCTTTTCTTGGAGAATGTAATTTTTTTGAGTCAAGAGGGTTGTGGTGGTAGAAACTGTAAAGCACATTCGCTGTGTATCAATCCCAATCCAGTCTTCCCAGAGAAGATTCTAAACACCTCCTGGAATGCACCTGGGCCTATACCAATTCCTATCACTCACCGTCACTCCAGGGAGACAGAACACACAGAGAACACATTACACAGGCAGGTTCATTACTAACAGATAAGCAGCGAGTGACAACAGAAACCTACATTTCAATGTGAGCCAGTCCCTCAAGGCTCAGAAAAGCTGCTCGAGACATGTGGAGTCACCCCATATGCAGTGTATCTGGGGGAAATCAAAAAGCAGCCCAGCCTGGGTTTTGTACCCTGGAGCCACAGGAAGCACTCAGCTAAAGCACTGCATGACGTCCTCCTCCAGGAAGAACAGGAAGACAGCCCAGGCTGTTCTGGGATGTTCCTCCTGATCTCAGGACGTTGCTGTCTTAGTCCATTTTTGTTGCTCTAAAGGAACACTTGAGCCTGGGTAACTTCTAAAGACAAGAAATGTGTTTGCCTCACAGTTCTGCAGGCTGTACTGGAAGCATGGCACCAGCATCTATTTCTTGTGACGGCCTCAGGCTGCTCCCACTCTGGCAGAAGGGAAGGAGGGTCTGTCTGTGCAGAGACCACAGAGATCACACGGCAAGAGAGGGACCAAGGGGGAGGGGGAGCGATGGAGCTTCCAAGCTCTTTTAACAACCAGTTCTCCAGGAACTAATAGAGGGGGAACTTGCTAACCCCGTCTCCTTGGAACAGCATTGATCTGTTCATGATGGATCCACCTCCATGACCCAAACAACTCCCAAGAGGCCCAACCTCCCACTCTGGGGGTTACATTTCAATGTGAGGTTTGAAGGGGTCAAACATCTAAACTAAAGCAGTTGTATCCTCAGCACGTTCTATGGTTACTACAACTGAGAAAGCAGGAGGAAGCTAGGTCTCCCGCCATCTGGGTGCTTGTCCTAAAGAGACGTTGTATGTGGTTACCTGTCAATCAAGAAATGTGAGACAATTCATATAGAGGAACTGCTATGATTAGCTTCTTATTGGTGTCTTGTCTTCCTCCAGGTAACTCCAGAAACCTGCACGTTCTGATTGGGACCTCAGTGGTCATCATCCCCTTTGCTATCCTCCTCTTCTTTCTCCTTCATCGCTGGTGTGCCAACAAAAAGAGTAAGTCTCACGAAGCAGAAGCCAGAGAGCTCAGGGCCATGTGGGGAAGCAGGATGGGAGCACTCAGGTGTGTGTTCCTCACAGACTGGATGGTCCCTGGCCCAAGGCAGGAGCCACAGAGGCAGGACTTTCTAGAGAGAGCACCAGACTCCCTGCCTCTGCCTTCAGCTCACAGACCATTGCCTGATTCTGAACCGTATCCTCACATCCCCTGCAGCCACTCACATCCAGGAGAAGGTTCCATGACAGGCAGAAAGTGGGACACAGAATCAATAGGATGGGAACTCAGAGCTATACATGGGATGGATCCTTGAGCTCAGAGAGATAGAATGTCTGAGTCTGCTGTTGGCAACTGAGGGACCTCAGGCACCTATGGCCTCCCCCTGTATGTTGGTATCTGCTTATGAAATGAGGACCCAGAAGTGCCCTCCGAGCTGTTTTGACGACTTCCGTCTTCTACAGATGCTGTTGTAATGGACCAAGAGCCTGCAGGGAACAGAACAGTGAACAGGGAGGTAGGTGCTCCTCCGCCCAGCCTCGTGGCTAGTCTTATTCCCAAAGAGTCCTGGAAAATGTGAGCACCCTCCCTCACTCAGCATTTCCCTCCCTCCAGGACTCTGATGAACAAGACCCTCAGGAGGTGACATACGCACAGTTGAATCACTGCGTTTTCACACAGAGAAAAATCACTCGCCCTTCTCAGAGGCCCAAGACACCCCCAACAGATACCAGCGTGTAACACGGAACTTCCAAATGCTGAGCGCAGATCCAAAGTTGTCTTCTGTCCACTAGCACCACAGTCAGGCCTTGATGGGATCTTCTAGGGAGACAATAGCCCTGTCTCAAAACCGGGTTGCCAGCTCCCATGTACCAGCAGCTGGACTCTGAAGGCGTGAGTCTGCATCTTAGGGCATCGCTCTTCCTCACACCACGAATCTGAACATGCCTCTCTCTTGCTTACAAATGTCTAAGGTCCCCACTGCCTGCTGGAGAGAAAACACACTTGCTTAGCCCACAATTCTCCATTTCACTTGACCCCTGCCCACCTCTCCAACCTAACTGGCTTACTTCCTAGTCTACTTGAGGCTGCGATCACACTGAGGAACTCACAATTCCAAACATATAAGAGGCTCCCTCTTAACACGGCACTTAGATACGTGCTATTCCACCTTTCCTCAGAGTATCTTTCAGCCTTCTGTCAGCAGTAAAACTTATAAATTTTTTTTATAATTTCAATGTAGTTTTCTATTCTTCAAGTAAACATGTCTGCCCTCATGGTTTCTTCAATGGGACTCTTTTCTTGCCTAAGGCTTCCGGTGTTATCATTACCACGTCCACATAACCCCATCTGTTCTCCGCTGGGTTCTCAGCCCTGGACTCTGAGCTTCTGGAAGCATGGTGGAGCCTGAATTGTCTCTGAGACTCCAATTTCCATCCAAAGATGCAGCACATAGGAGGTTCCAAGGATGGTGAATCAGATGAACAAGTGATATTCTTACTCTCTGCAGATCTGGAAAGCTGGCAGAGTCATTCCACGATGAAACATTTGTAGAGTCATAGGCCTTGTTAGTCTCATCTCCACAGGGACACGTATCAACACATCATCTTTCATACTACTATAAATAGACAGTCACTCCTCCATATCTCTGGGGTTTACACATGTTTATTGAATCAGCAATAAATCAAAAATATTTTGAGAAAAAAAATCCCCGAAGTTTCAAAAAGCAAAAAACTATGTTGAATCGACACAAATTGAGTGGCGTGTAGGCTGTGTCAGGAATTATAAGTAATCAAGAGATGATTTCATGTATACAGGAGGATGTGCATGGGTTCTATGCAATTGCTATGCTANTTTTTTTTTTTTTTTTGAGACAGTCTCACTCTCTCACCCAGGCTGGAGTGCAGTGGCGTGATCTCAACTCACTGCAACCTCCGCCTTCCAGGTTCAAGCGATTCTCTTCCCTCAGCCTCCCCAGTAGCCTCCCCTAGGATTACAGGCACGTGCCACCCTGCACAGATAAATTTTTTTGTGTGTATATTTTTAGTAGAGATGGGGTTTCAGAATGTTGGACCAGCTGGTCTTGAACTCCTGACCTTGTGATCTACCCAGCTCAGCCTCCCAAAGTGCTGGGATTACAGGCGTGAGCCACGGTGCCCAGCTTCACTATGCCATTTCATGCAAGGGGCTTGAGCATCTGCAGATTTTGGTATCTGAATGGGGATCCTGGAACCAATCACCCAGGTATAGTGAAGGACCATGGTATATAATTTTTATTTGTCAATCTTAAAAATAAAGCATAAAAAATTTACAACAACAAGATAAAAAATAAGAAGTGTTTTTATAGTGTGAGGATAAGTTTAGATTTATTTTTTCCTACGTGTAACCCTATGGTCCTGTGTTATTTGTTGAGAAAATATTCTATTCCACCTTAAACTACATGGCAGCCTTTGTCAACTATAAAGGGACTGTGTATCCACAGATGTATTTTAGACACAGTTTTCTGTCCAGTGGTTCTCTGTATCCCCTCTCATGAGGATGCTGCATTTTATATAAACTTATAGAACCCCTTAAAATTTGGTAACCTGAGTCCTCTGATTTGTTATTATAGGTTATTTAGTTTGCTTTTTTTTTTTTTCTTGAGACAGACTCTTCCTCTGTCACCCAAGCTGGAGTTCAGTGGCTTGAGCTCAGCTCACTGCAACCTCCGTCTCCCAGGTTCAAGCTATTCTGATGCCTCTGGTTTAGTAGTAGAAACTCAAGCAGGAAAATTAGAATGGCTTCTTGTCACAATTACTCTGATAATGTTAATAATACCTGTTAGACATTTTGCACATTACATATGAAGAAGAGTTTGAATCTCAGATAAAAACAAAAATACATCAAAAATCTTTAATGTAAGCACAGAATTCAATCATCTCGTGTATGAGAGGTTGGATCTGAGACGTCTTTTGAGTCTGGTCGTAGTGAAGGACGCAAGGTGTCAATTCTAGTGAGAACAATTTCCAGGAAGCCATGTTCCGCTCTTGAGCGAGCACCCACTGGGCCTCATGCAAGGTAGAAAGAGCCTGCGTACGTCACCCTCCCATGATGTGGTCAACATGTAAACTGCATGGGCAGGGCGCCAAATAACATCCTGTGCGCTGCTGAGCTGAGCTGGGGCGCGGCCGCCTGTCTGCACAGACAGCACCATGTCGCTCATGGTCGTCAGCATGGTGTGTGTTGGTGAGTCCTGGAAGGGCATCGAGGGAGGGAGTGCGGGGATGGAGATCGGGGCCCAGAGTTGGAGATATAGGCCTGGAAGTGGAGTTATGGGCCTAGAGATGGAGTGATGGGCCTAGAAGTGGAGATCTGGGCCTGGAGTGGAGATCTGGGCCTGGAGTGGAGATATGGGCCTGGAGGTTGAGATATGGGCCTGCAGTAGAGATATGGGCTTGTAGTGGAGACATGGGCCTGGAGATGGAGATATGGGCCTGGAGATGGAGATATGGGCCTGCAGTAGAGATAGGGGCCTGGAGTGGAGATATGGGCCTGGAGTGGAGATATGGGCCTGGAGTGGAGATATGGGCCTGGAGGTGGAGATATGGGCCTGGAGGTGGAGATATGGGCCTGGAGTGGAGATATGGGTCTGGAGGTGGAGATACGGGCCTGCAGTAGAGATATGGGCCTGGAGTGGAGATATGGGCCAGGAGTGGAGTTATGGGCCTAGAGGTGGATATCTGGGCCTGGAGTGGAGATATGGGCCTAGGAAGGAGATATGGGCCTGGGTGTGGAGATATGGGACTGGAGAGGTGATATGGGCCTGGAGTGGAGATATGGGCTTAGGGTGGAGATCTGGGCCTGGGGCGGAGATATGGGACTGGATTGGAGATAGGGGCCTAGGGTGGAGATCTGAGCCTGGATTGGCGATATGGGCCTAGGGTGGAAATATCAGCCTGGAGTGGAGATATGGGCTTGGGGTGGGGATATGGGCCTGGAAACTGGGTCTCTGCACAGCCGACAGCCCTGTTCTTGGGTGCAGGTAGGCACTGAGGGTGAGTTTAACTTCAGCCCAGGAAGGGCCTGGCTGCCAAGACTCACAGCCCAGTGGGGGCAGCAAGGGAGGCCTGGTTTGCCTGCAGATGGATGGTCCATCATGATCTTTCTTTCCAGGGTTCTTCTTGCTGCAGGGGGCCTGGCCACATGAGGGTGAGTCCTTCTCCAAACCTTCGGGTGTCATCTCCCCACATAAGAGGATTTTCCTGAAACAGGAGGGAAGTCCTGTCGGGGAGTCTCTCATAAACTAGGAAGAGAGGACCCTGGGGTGCTCAGCCCACATTTCTGACCTCGCCTCCCTGGCCTCTCAACCCCTTGGCAGAGTCAAGTTCTGTGGGGACCAGGGTTAGACTGGGGTGCTCAAAGCTGGGGTGTGTGGTTGGGAAGTGGTAGGAACAGCAGATCCTCTGAGGACAAAGGTGTTACTCACACACTTCAGCGTTTCCATGATGGTAGGGGCTGCAGTGTGGCTGCTGTCATTCTACCAGAAGAGGTGGGAAACCACAGCCATGGCCCTGACATTCCAAATCCTCTGATGGGGGCTCAGTTGTTTATTTTCGTTCAGGCATCCGCTGATATCCATTCACAAAGGACATGCCCTCCACCTCATGTCTACCCTGTGTTGTTTTATGTGAGTAATCTTACAGTATTAAAATCTAGTAGGAGTCTCTTTACTCAGCACTTGCTCAAAGTTCTCAGCTGAGGCTTTTGTTGTAGGGAGACACCATGTCTTTGCGGGATGGGTCCTTCCTTCAGCCCTGGGCACCAAGGTGTGATAGTAGCCATAGAAACGTGGAAAGCGAGGAGAATCTTCTGAGCACAGGGAGGGAAGGGCAGTTCCACATCCTCCTCTCTAAGGCGGCGCCTCCTTCTCCCCAAGGTGGTCAGGACAAGCCCTTGCTGTCTGCCTGGCCCAGCCTTGTGGTGCCTCTAGGACATGTCATTCTTCGGTGTCACTCTTATCTTGGGTTTAACAACTTCAGTCTGTACAAGGAAGGTGGGGTGCCTGTCCCTGAGCTCTACAACAGAATATTCTGGAACAGCCTTTTCATGGGCCCTGTGACCCCCGCACACACAGGGACATACAGATGTCGGGGTTCACACACACACTCCCCCAGTGGGTGGTCAGCACCCAGCAACCCCCTGGTGATCGTGGTCATAGGTCAGAGGGCTCCTGTCTTGGATTCTCCTTGTCCCACCTCCTGAATCCCAGAGCTTCTGGTGGGCATGTCCTTGAGGGTCCCATCACGCAGGCCCTGACTGTATTTGTGGTAAAGGGGGATTGAATACAGGGAAATGGGTGCTGTGGTGGGAAGAATAATTGTCCCCAGTGATGACTACATTCTAATCCCTGGAGTCTGTGACTATTTATGTTATAGGGGAAGGGACTGAAGGGGAAGATGGAGCTCATGGGGAGACAGCCTGGACTGTCCCACTGGGCTCAGTGTAATCACAAGGGTGCACATGAAAGGAGGAGGAAGAGGGGAGTGGGGATTAGAGCAGTCCAGTGGAAGTCTTCACCAGCTTTGAAGGTGGAGGAAGGCCAAGAGCCATGAATGCAGGTGGCCTATAGAGGCTGGAAAAGTCAAGGAACTGATTCTCCAGAGTCTCCAGAGGGAACAAAGCCCTGCAGATGCCTTGATTTTAGCCCAGGAAAAATAGGGTCCAATTTCTGTCTCCAGTACTGGAAGGTGTCAGTGTGGTCTCTCCTGCTGCCATGCTTCTGATAATTTTCTACAGCAGCAACAGGAAACCAACACTGGAACCCAGGTCAAGGACAAGTTAAGAAACAACCCAAGGAAAGCCAGGCATGGTGGCAGGTGCATGTAATCCTAGCGACTCAGGAGGCTGAGGGCAGGAGAATCACTTGAACCCAGGAGACAGAGGTTGCAGTGAGCCTAGACCACACCACTTCACTCCAGCCTGGGTGAAGGAGTGAGACTCTGTCTCCAAAATTAATTAATTAATTAAAGAAACCAAACAAGGAGAAGGTTGGCTACCCTGAGATCAGCAAGGGTGGGATGATGATGCCACCACCAGGCTCCATCCACATAGGGAGGGGTTGATACTCCTCCAACCAGCACCAGGAGCCAGCCTATGGAAGCTGGCACCATGGAGAAGGCACAGGCATGGCAAGAGTGGCTCCCAGTCCCCACCAGGAACAGGGTGTGTGGACACTGGTGCCTGCCTTATTCATCAGTTCATACCTTCTGCCAAGGATTGCAATTCATCCAAAAGAGATTGAACCAGGCTGATAAGAGCCTGGATGTGCAGCCTATCCTGGTTCCTCTTTCACCCCCACATAAACAGCAGGAAATACATTAGTGTGAAATAGATACAACACCCCAAGAGATGAGGCTAAGCCCAGTGGGAAGGGAATCAGAGGCTACTAGAGACAGAGGGACAGAGAAGAGGGAGGGAGACAGATGGAAGGACCTGCACCAGGAGTTAAGGGCACAGAAAAGAACATGAAGACACAGAGAGGAAGGAGAGAGACAGACACCAGCAAGGGGAAGCCTCACTCATTCTAGGTGCCATGGATGGGATGATAAAGAGAGACACCTTCTAAACTCACAACCTCTCTTCCTAGGAGTCCACAGAAAACCTTCCCTCCTGGCCCACCCAGGTCCCCTGGTGAAATCAGAAGAGACAGTCATCCTGCAATGTTGGTCAGATGTCAGGTTTCAGCACTTCCTTCTGCACAGAGAAGGGAAGTTTAAGGACACTTTGCACCTCATTGGAGAGCACCATGATGGGGTCTCCAAGGCCAACTTCTCCATCGGTCCCATGATGCAAGACCTTGCAGGGACCTACAGATGCTACGGTTCTGTTACTCACTCCCCCTATCAGTTGTCAGCTCCCAGTGACCCTCTGGACATCGTCATCACAGGTGAGAGTGTCCGGACATTCTCATTGTCATTGGGATGCAGAGTGAATGATCCACGACTTGGAACCCCCAGGTAGTTGTAAGGAAGATGAGCTTGGTATTCTTATGGAGAGAGACTGACTTGCTGAGGTTTGTACCAACAGAGACAGAGAAACAGGAGACACAAGTACAGACCAGGTGTCATAACAGAGGACAGACACAGGGGCCATACAGGGAGTTAGAAAAGACAGAAAGAGTTAAAAGAGACAGACAGACAGACATGTCCCAGAGAGAGGTGTCCCTCCATGCTGACTTTGCTCACAGACCTGGCACAGGTTAGAAGTTTCATTTCTGTTTTACCTCCACAAAGTGTTCTCTACCAGGAGAACCCAAGGACACCCATATTTATGACCTGAGTTGGGCCCTGTGGCCTCAGGCCTTGTGGCACCTACAGGCCATGTTTATTCTGACACCTCTGCCTTCCATGTAATGGAGAGTAATCGTCCCAGGATATCATGGCCCCAGAACACCAACCCCTGTATGCTGTGTGAACTTGTGGTCTCCAGACTGGATTCTGTGGCTCACATTCCAAATAACCCCACATATGAAAGGATCACTGAGAGGCACAGAGAAAAATCAGGAACACCAAAAAGCAAAGACATAAACACACAGAGAATGAGCCAGAGGAAGGAGATTGAGAGACTCACAGACACATAAAGAGAGAGAAAAGAGGGCAGAGGAGTGGTGAGAATGATGGCAGGGAGCAGAGAAAAGCACTAAAATTAGAGTCCTGAGAGAGAGGCACAAGGACATAGAAACATGGAGATGTGGGGATGAATTGCAGAGATTCCAAAGAGAGCTAGAGAGACCGAGAGGCAGAGCAAGACAGATGATAGATGGATAGATATAGATAGATGATAAATAGGTAGATGATAGATAATAGGTTAAAGATACATAGATGATGATTGATTGATTCATTAATAGATAATACATAGAGATGATGATGATGAAGACAGATAATACGTACAGATAGAGAGGCAGACAGAAATCATAGAGAGAGAGATGATACATACATATAAATAACAGATGATTGATGGATAGATAGACAAGTGATAGATACATAGATGATATATAGATATAGATGACAGGTAGAGAATTTGTAGATAGACACCGAATAGATAAATAGATAGATCGACAGATAATAGATAGAAATATGCAGAAAGTTATGAACAGGACACAACGTGAGAAACTTAGAATTTAAAAAAGTAACATCAAGTCAACCAATCCAAGGAGAGTCAGAGAGAATAAAAGAATCCAAAAAGGGAAAACATATCTAGAGGTGGGGAAGCGAGGTCAGAGACCTAGAGAGACAGAGAAGGTGGAAGAAGGAAATAGACATGAAGAGAGATGGGGTGGAGGGTGAGAGAGAGAGAGAGAGAGCATTAGGTCATAGAGCAGGGGAGTGAGTTCTCAGCTCAGGTGAAGGGAGCTGTGACAAGGAAGATCCTCCGTAAGGAAAATGCCTCTTCTCCTCCAGGTCTATATGAGAAACCTTCTCTCTCAGCCCAGCCGGGCCCCACGGTTCTGGCAGGAGAGAGCGTGACCTTGTCCTGCAGCTCCCGGAGCTCCTATGACATGTACCATCTATCCAGGGAGGGGGAGGCCCATGAACGTAGGTTCTCTGCAGGGCCCAAGGTCAACGGAACATTCCAGGCCGACTTTCCTCTGGGCCCTGCCACCCACGGAGGAACCTACAGATGCTTCGGCTCTTTCCGTGACTCTCCATACGAGTGGTCAAACTCGAGTGACCCACTGCTTGTTTCTGTCACAGGTGAGGAAACCCCATATCTGTCTCATGTCCTATGATCCTAGAGCCTTAGCTGAGGAGCTTCCTGCTGATGATGGAGAGAAGCATGGACAGATGCAGAGAGAAGACGAAGCTTGGGTGTGAGGGAGGGATCAGGGCACAGGATGGCAGACAGGGCACCTCCAAACCCTCCTACACGGCCTGCATGAAGGCCCGCGGCCAGGGCTCCAGGCACACAGGCAGATGGAGAAAACGGTCAGGAGAGACGCAGAGGAGAGAGACTGGGCTCAGTTTGGGAAGATCAGAGGTTCCCTCAGCCCCTCAACATTACCCATTTCCCAGAAGCCCATCCTGGCCTCTCACCCACACAGGGATGTCATCACCAGCAACCCCTACACCCTTTACTTTTGTTTGAAGAAATATTTATTGAGGATAAATATACCTATATAGCTTACCACCTTTAACATTTTTTTTTTTTTTGAGGCAGAGTCTAGCTCTGTCCCCTATGCTGGAGTGCAGTGGCACAATCTCAGCTCACTGCAACTTCCGCCTCCTGGGTTCAAGTGATTCTCCTGCCTCAGCCACCTGAGTAGCTGGTGCTACAGGCGCGCACCACCACGCCAGGCTACTTTTTGTATTTTTAGTAGAGAGGGGGTTTCACCATGTTGGTCGAGCTGGTCTCCAACTCCTGACCACGTGATCCACCCGCATCTGCCTCCCAAAGTGCTGGGATTACAGGCATGAGCCACCACGCCCAGCCACATTTACCATTTTTAAGTGTAAAGTCTAGTGGTCATAAATACATTTATATATATATATATATATATATATATACACACACACACACATATATACATATATATATATATATATATATATATATATATATATATATATATTTTTTTTTTTTTTTTTTTTTTTTTACCCTCCACCCTTTTATTCCTGGCCTCTGGAAGCCACCATTCTACTCTCTACCTTCATGAGATCCACCTTTTAGCTCTGTATATGGGTGAGAAATGGGAATCTTTGTAATGACTTCCAGTTCCATCCATGTGGCTGCAAATATCAGGATGTTATTCTTTCTATGGATGAGTAGTCTCCACTGTGCGTATGTACTACATTCTCTCTATCCATTCATCCACTGATGGGCAGGTAGGTTGACTCCACATCTTGGCTACTGTGAACAGTGCTGCACCAATCATACGAGTGCAGATATCACTTCGATATATTGATTTACTTTCCTTTGGATATAAACCCAGTAGTGAAATTGCTGGATACTATGAAAGTTCTCTTTTTAGTTATTCGTTTGTTGTTTTGTTTTTGTTTTTGAGACAGTTTCCCTCTGTGCCCAGGCTGGAGTACAAGTGAAGTCATCTTGGCTCATTGCAACCTCCGCCTCCTGGGTTCAAATGATTTTCCTGCCTCAGCCTCCCTAGTAGCTGGGATTACAGGTGCACGCCACCATGCCTGGCTACTTTTTGTTTTTTTTAGTATAGATGCGGTTTCCCCATGTTGGCTGGGCTGCTCTCAAACTCATGACCTCAACTGAGGTGCCCGCCTCGGTCTCCCAAAGTGCCGGGATTACAGGCATGATCCACCTCACCCAACCTCTTTTTAGTTCTTTAAAGGACTTCCACACTTTTCTCCGTAAAGGCTGTACTAATTTACACTCCTACCAACAGGGTATTAGGGTTCTCCTTTCTCTACCACTTTGGCAGGATTTCCTTTGCCTGTCTTGCAGCTAAAAGCCATTTTATTTTATTTCATTTTATTTTGAGATGGAGTTTCGCTCTTGTCACCCAGGCTGGAGTGCAGTGGTGCGATCTCGGCTCACCACAACCTCCACCTCCCAGGTTCAAGCGATTCTCCTGCCTCAGCCTCCCGAGTAGCTGGAATTACAGGCACACGCCACCACGCCCAACTAAATTTTGTATTTTTAGTAGAGACAGTGTTTCTCCATGTGGGTCAGACTGGTCTCAAACTCCCGACCTTATGAGATTCACCCACCTCAGGCTCTCAAAGGTCTAGGATGACAGACGTGAGCCACCACGCCCGGCCTAAAATCCATTTTAATGGGGTGAGATGAAAACTCACTTTGATTTTAATTTGTGTTTCTCTGATGATGAGTGAAACTGAGCACTTTTTAGTATGTGGGGAAATTTCATGTGTTTTGCTCCTTTTTCAATTAAATCATTTGTTTTATTGAGTTGTTTGAGCTTCTTATATTTCTAGTTATTAATCCCATCTCAGATGCATAGTTTGCACATATTTGCTCCCAATCTGTGGGTTGTCTCTTCACTTTGTTGGTTTATTTTTAGCGGTGCAGAAGTTGCTTAGTTTGAGGTAATCCCAATGGTCTATTTTTGCTTCGATTACTTGTGTTTTGAAGGTTTAAAACAAAATGTCTTCCTTCAGACAAATGTCCTGGAGCATTTCCCCAATATTTTCTTCTACGTGTTTCATAGGTTCAGGCCTTAGACTCACATCTTTAATCCATTTTCATTTGAGTTTTGTGTATAGTGACAGGTAGAGGTGCAGTTTCATTCCTCTGCATGTAGATGTCCAGGTTTCCCTGCACTGTTTATTGAAAAGACTGTCCTTTCCTGATTGTGAGTTCTTGGCACCTTTGTCAAAGTCCATTGGATGGGCTGGGCATGGTGGCTGACACCTGCAATTTCAGCACTTTGGGAGCCCAAGGCGGGTGGATCACCTGAGGCCAGGAGTTCAAGATTAGTCTGGCCGACGTGATGAAACATTGTCTCCACTAAAAATATAAAAATTAGCTGAGCATGGTGGTCAGCACCTGTAATACCACTACTCAGGAGTTTGAGGCCAGAGAATTGATTGAACCCAGGAGGCTGTGGTGGCAGTGAACCGAGATTGCACCTCTGCACTCCAGCCTGGGCGACAGAGCGAGACTCCATCTCAAAAGAAAAAAGAAAAAAACATTGGAGGTAAATGCATGGATTATATCTGTGTTCTTCATTCTGCTCCATTGTTCTACGTGCCTTTCTTTATGCCAATGTGATGCTGTTTTGCTTACTACAGCTCTGTAACATATTTTGAGATCAGGTAGTGTGATGCTCCTGTTTTCTCTTTATACCTTGAAGTCTCAAGACAGTGGGCGTCACATACAAAAATTACGGAAAAAAGGATCCCAGGACTCCCAGGGCCCAATATTAGATAACAGAGTGTTGGCCATGAACCAACCTCAAAGATTTCCATTGAGTAGAGGACAGACACCCTCATTTCCTCACCTCTCTCCTGTCTCATGTTCTAGGAAACCCTTCAAATAGTTGGCTTTCACCCACTGAACCAAGCTCCGAAACCGGTGAGTACAGAACCCTCTTATATCCGCTTTTGGAAACCTGGGGAGGTAGAAACCTTCGATGCAGGCATTGACTCAGCATCTCGCAGCTCTGACATTGTACGCCTGTCTTCTACCATCTCCGAACTCCAGATACTCCAACAGCGAAAGGGATCTGGGCCCAACCTAGGGCTCAGTGAAATCTCTTAATCTCTCATTTTATGGAGCTGAGATCTCCTACAAGCTAGAAGAATGATTGCCAATCTGACATCCTTCTCAGGAAAAATGCAATGTTTGTTCTGCCTGCATTCCTAACTGGAGGATAAATTCCTGGGGGCTTGAGAGAGGGAAGGGAAGGGAACATCTGATGAGGGCGAGGTGTTTTAGAGAAGTTCCACTTGCCAAGGAATGAATTACTGTTGGTCATGAAGCAACCCTGGCTGACTCAGCAGAGCAACAGCCTTGCCGTAACAGAGAACGGAGCTCATGCACGCACACTTCGACTCACTGACTCATTCAGCCACGGCCCCATGCTCAGGCTGTGCAGTGCGGAACCTTTTCCTATTGTTGCCATAACAAATTTCCACAAGATTCGTGGGTGAAAACAAAACGGTTTTTTAATTATCTTACAGTGCTGTAGCTCAAAGTAGGAAGTGCATCTTACTGGGCTAAAATCAAGGTGACAGCAAGGCTGCCTTCCCTCTGAGGATTCCAGGCAAGAATCTGCTTCTCACTTATCCCAGCTTCTAAAGGCTCCCAGTTCCTTGGCTCCTGTTCCCCTTCCTCCTTCCTCAAAGCCCACAAAGACTGGTCACATCTCACATGGCATCACTCAGTGCCTTCTTCCTTACCACACCTCTTTCTCTGAATGCTGCTCTCCCTTCTTCCTTATCTTTTGAAAACTTGGGGATTCTATTGGGTTCACCAAGATGAAAATCCCTCATAATCTCCTGGAAATCATCCAGGATACCCTTGTTTTAAGTTCAGCTGATTAGCAACCGCAATTCCATCTACAATCTTCATTCCTCCTTTCCATGTAAAATAACATATTCACAAGCTATGGAGGCTAGGACAGGGACATTTTGGGGTGGGACAGCATTCTCCTGCCTTCCACAAACGGTGAACAAGATGCATTTGGCCGCTGCCCTTGGGACACTGATATTGCAGATGGTTAAATGGGAGGGCAGAAAATGAATGCACAAGTGGATCTATAAATGAATGATCCATTGGGAAGCATCTGTGCATGAAATCTATTTTTTGTTTGTTCTTTTGTTTATTGAGACAGAGTCGCCCTCTGTCTTCCAGGCTACAGTGCAGTGTCACGATCTTGGCTCACTGCAACCTGCGTCTCCTGGATTCAAGTGATTCTCCTGCCTCCGCCTCTCGAGTAGCTGGGATTACAGGCAACTGCCACCGTGCCCGGCTAATTCTTTTTGTATATTTTTTGTAGAAAGGATGTTTCACCACGTTGGCCAAGCTTGTCTGAAACTCCCAACCTCAAGTGATCCGACCGTCTCAGCATGCCAAAGTAATGGGACTACAGGCGTGAGCCACTGTGCCCAGCCAGAATTCAAAATCAATAATAGATAATGCTGAGTGTATGATTTCAGGTGACAAAGAAGGTCTCTCTATTCAGATATTTGTGACATTAATGAAAAACACGGATTGAACCCCTGAAAGATTGGCGGAAGGATTTTGCACACACAGCTGTCAGCCGTGAAGGCACAAAGGTGAAAACAATCTGATGTGGAAGGAAGAGGCTCTGCCTCAAATGCTGGGAATGAGGTGGGGAGAATGACAAGACGACTGTAGGGAGACGGAGAGCACACTGGGTACACAGGAAACTAAGGAGCAACAAGGAGTGTGTGTTTGACACTCACAGCCATTGGATTCACCTCGGGGTAACCAGGAATCCCTACATGATTAATATGACGGACATGAAAATAAGGGAGGCTCAGTTGCATAACTGGAATCTAGGAGACCGTGGAAAAGGCAATTGCCGCCCCACTGGTGAAATGTGGTGCTGATTTAGACACTAAATGAATGAAGTAGATGGATATAAGATATGTTTGTGAGGTAGAATCGTTGACTGGAAAGGCTTACTGGGTTTGATTTTCCTACTTGTTTAATCCTCGCTTAATTAATTTCTTTCTGAGATTTATTCATCCTACACATAAATCAATACCTGGCAAAGGAGTGACAGATATATGAGTGGTGGTGGAAATGAAGAGACTTATTATAGCATAATATACAAGTCTGTGAACAGTGGCTCACGCCTGTAACCTAGCACTGCAGGAGGCCAAGGTGGGTGGATTCCATGAAGTCAGGAGTTCCAGACCAGCCTGGCCAACGTGGTGAAACCCTATCTCTACTAAAAATACAAAAATTAGCCGAGCACGATGGTGCATCCCTGTAATCCCAGCTCCTATTCTGGAGGATGAAGCAGGAGAACGACTTCAACCCAGTAGGTGGAGGTTGCAGTGAGTGGAGATTGCATCACTGCACTCCAGCCTGGGGGACACAAGGAGACTCTATCTCAAAAAATAAAAATAAGAAATACATAAATATAATAAAACACACACGAATGACAAAGGCACCTGAATTCCAATCATCGTTTTTCTATTTCTCTATAATTACTTCTTTGATCCTTTATCTTATCCATTAGGCAATGAGCTTAAAACCTCTTCCCTATTTGGCTTTCTGTGAGAATGAGATCACATAGAAAATGTGAAAGCCCTCAGAATCCTCCAGCACAGATCGTGGAATAGAGAAAGTGCTCTGTTCATCGCAACAAAAAACTTGCCCACTCACCCAAATCCCCCACCTCACCCCTACTTCCAATCACCTGTGGAGATTCAGATAGGCTATGGGGAGGTAAACATTGATACTCCTTGGAGTGAGTCCAGATCTTGGAATCAGAGATCAGTGCCAGCACTAGCTCCTGCTCCCCTTTCCTACTAATTCACAGGAGGACAGGTGGTATTGAAGCAATAGATGGCCGAGGGGGTGGTCCTTCCCCCAGCCTCTCGGGTAGAACAGCAGCCTAACATGTGTCTCCCGAGATCACAAAGAGTAGCACGTTTCACACGGGCTTCAACACTATTTCCTGGCCATTTGACATAAGAGAATTCTACTTAGCTTTTTTTATCTTGATTTCACTTTTGTTTCCTTTTCTTGGAGAATGCAAGTTGTTTGATTCAAGAATGCTGTGGATGTAGAAATCCTAAAGCACATTCGCTGTGTATCAATCCCAGTGCAGTCTTCCCAGAGAAGACTCTAAATACCTCCTGGACTGCACCTGGGCTTATGCCAATTCCTATCACTCACCGTCACTCCAGGGAGACAGAACACACAGAGAATACATTACACAGGCAGGTTCATTACTAACAGATAAGCAGCGAGTGACAACAGAAACCTACATTTCAATGTGAGCCAGTCCCTCAAGGCTCAGAAAAGCTCCTCGGGACATATGGAGTCACCCCATTTGCAGTGTAGCTGGGGGAAGCCAGAGAGCAGCCCAGCCTGGGTTTTGTACTGTGGAGCCACAGGAAGCACTCAGCTAAAGCACTGCATGACGTCCTCCTCCAGGAAGAACAGGAAGACAGCCCAGGCTGTTCTGAGACGTTCCTCCTGATCTCAGGACGTTGCTGTCTTAGTCCATTTTTGTTGCTCTAAAGGAACACTTGAGCCTGGGTAACTTCTAGAGAAAAGAGATTGGTTTGCCTCACAGTTCTGCAGGCTATACTGGAAGCGTGGCACCAGCATCTATTTCTCGTGACGGCCTCAGGCTGCTCCCACTCTGGCAGAAGGGAAGGAGGGTCTGTCTGTGCAGAGACCACAGAGATCACACGGCAAGAGAGGGAGCAAGGGGGAGGGGGAGCGATGGAGCTTCCAAGCTCTTTTGAACAACCAGCTCTCCAGGAACTAATAGAAGGGGAACTTGCTAACCCCGTCTCCTTGGGACAGCATTGGTCTGTTCATGATGGATCCACCTCCATGACCCAAACACCTCTCAAGAGGCCCAACCTCCCACAGTGGGGGTGAAATTTCAATGTGAGGTTTGAAGGGGTCAAACATCTCAACTAAAGTAGTTGTATCCTCAACACGTTCTATGGTTACTATGAGAGCTATAACTGAGAAAGCAGGAGAAAGCTGGGTCTCCCTCCATCTGGGTGCTTGTCCTAAAGGGGTGTTGTATGTGGTTACCTGTCAATCAAGAAATGTGAGACAATTCATAAAGAGGAACTGCTATGATTAGCTTCTTATTGGTGTCTCCTCTTCTTCCAGGTAACCCCAGACACCTGCATGTTCTGATTGGGACCTCAGTGGTCATCATCCTCTTCATCCTCCTCCTCTTCTTTCTCCTTCATCGCTGGTGCTGCAACAAAAAAAGTAAGTCTCACGAAGCAGAGGCCAGAGAGCTCAGGGCCATGTGGGGAAGCAGGATGGGAGCACTCAGGTGTGTGTTCCTCACAGACAGGATGGTCCCTGGCCCAAGGCAGCAGCCACAGAGGGAGGACTTTCTAGAGAGAGCACCAGACTCCCTGTCCCTGCCTTCAGCTCACAGACCATTGCCTGATTCTGAACTGTATCCTCATGTCCCCTGCAGCCACTCACATCCAGGAGAAGGTTCCATGACAGGCAGAAAGTGGGAGACAGAATCAATGGGATGGGAACTCAGAGCTATTCATGGGATGGGTCCTTGAGCTCAGAGAGATAGAATGTCTGAGTCTGCTGTTGGCAACTGAGGGACCTCAGGCTCCTATGGTCTCCCCCTGTATGTTGGTATCTGCTTATGAAATGAGGGCCCAGAAGTGCCCTCTGAGCTGTTTTGTTGACTTCCGTCTTCTACAGATGCTGTTGTAATGGACCAAGAGCCTGCAGGGAACAGAACAGTGAACAGGGAGGTAGGTGCTCCTCGGCCCAGCCTCGTGGCTAGTGTTATTCCCAAAGAGTCCTGGAAAATGTGAGCACCCTCCCTCACTCAGGATTTCCCTCTCTCCAGGACTCTGATGAACAAGACCCTCAGGAGGTGACATATGCACAGTTGAATCACTGCGTTTTCACACAGAGAAAAATCACTCACCCTTCTCAGAGGCCCAAGACACCCCCAACAGATATCATCGTGTACACGGAACTTCCAAATGCTGAGCCCTGATCCAAAGTTGTCTCCTGCCCATGAGCACCACAGTCAGGCCTTGAGGGGATCTTCTAGGGAGACAACAGCCCTGTCTCAAAACTGGGTTGCCAGCTCCAATGTACCAGCAGCTGGAATCTGAAGGCGTGAGTCTGCATCTTAGGGCATCGCTCTTCCTCACACCACAAATCTGAACGTGCCTCTCTCTTGCTTACAAATGTCTAAGGTCCCCACTGCCTGCTGGAGAGAAAACACACTCCTTTGCTTAGCCCACAATTCTCCATTTCACTTGACCCCTGCCCACCTCTCCAACCTAACTGGCTTACTTCCTAGTCTATTTGAGGCTGCAATCACACTGAGGAACTCACAATTCCAAACATACAAGAGGCTCCCTCTTAACACGGCACTTAGACACGTGCTGTTCCACCTTCCCTCATGCTGTTCCACCTCCCCTCAGACTAGCTTTCAGCCTTCTGTCAGCAGTAAAACTTATATATTTTTTAAAATAATTTCAATGTAGTTTTCCCTCCTTCAAATAAACATGTCTGCCCTCATGGTTTAGGTAATGGGACTCTTTTCTTGCCTAAGGCTTCCGGTGTTATCAGTACCATGTCCATATAATCCCATCTGTTCTCCACGGGGTTCTCACCTCTGGACTCTGAGCTTCTGGAAGCAGTGTGGAGCCTCATTTGTCTCTGGGACTCCAATTTCCATCCAAAGATGCAGCACATAGGAGGTTCCAAGGATCGGGAATCACATGAACAAGTGACATTGTTACTCTCTGCAGACCTGGAAAGCTGGCAGAGTCATTCCACAATGAAACATTTGTAGAGTCATAGGCCTTGTTAGTCTCATCTCCATGGGGACACATATCAACACATCATCTTTCATACTATAAATATACGGTCACTCCTCCGTATCTGTGGGGTTTACAGGTCTTTATTGAACAAAGTATAAATCAAAAATATTCAGAGAAAATATCCACAGAGTTCCAAAACTCATAACTATGTTGAATGGACACAAATGAAGCTGTGTGTAGGCTGTATCAGGAATTATAAGTAATCAAGAGATGATTTCATGTATACAGGAGGATGTGCATATGTTATTTGCAAGCGCTGTGCCATTTCATATAAGAGGCTTGAGCATCTACAGATTTTGGTATCTGAGTGGAGATCTCGAAACCAATCACCCACGAATAGTGAAGGATGACCGTATATGACTTTTATTTCTCAAATTTAAATATAAATCAAAAAATGTACAACTAGATAAAAACTAAGAAGTGTTTTTATAGTGTGAGTTAGATTTATTTTTTACTAGGTGTAACCCATTGGTTTAATATTATTTATTGAGAAGACATTCTATGCCACCTTAAACCACACGGCAGCCTTTGTCAACTCTAAAGGGACTGTGTGTACATGGATGTATTTTAGACAGTTTCTGCTAAGGGGCTGTCTGTGTCCACACTCTTGATGATGCTACACTTTATGTAGCCTTATAGAACCCTTTAAATTTAGTAGCCAGAGCCCTCTAATTTGTTATTATAGGCTATTTGCTTTTTTTTTTCTTGAGGCGGAGTCTTGCTCTGTCGCCCAGGCTGGACTGCAGTGGTGCAATCTCAGCTCACTGCAACCTCCGCCTCCCAGGTTCAAGCGATTCTCGTGCCTCAGCCTCTTGGGTAGCTGGCGTTACAAGTTCCTGCCACTGGGCACGGCTAATTTTTGGATTTTTAGCAGAGACACGGTTTCACTGTGTTGCCAGGCTGCTCTCAAACTCCTTATATCAGTTGATCCGCCCACCTCGGCTTCCCGACGTGCTGGGGGAAACTTGATTTTCTATAGCATTATGTTACTGGATATTTCTGTAAAATTTAAAATGAGGGAGGCAGAGAGACAGAGAGAGAACAAACTCCAGAGTTGGGACTCTGGAAACTTGGGTCATGAGACAAATTTTAGATAAATCTACAAAAATCCAGAGTTTAAATGTGTGGTTTTTGCTGATAACGTACAATTCAAAGATTGTAAATAATTGCATAATCCTTCCCTGGGAATTTAAATCATTTTAACTGGTTCTGCTGTAATACTAGAAATACAAGCATGAAAAATTCTAATGGTTTATTAGTCACAATGACTCTGAAAACCTTAATAATACCTATTAGATATTTTGCATATTACACATGAAGAAGAGTTTGAATCTCAGATAAAAACAATAAAAATACATGAAAAGTCTTTCACGTTAGCACAGATTTTAGGCATCTCGTGTTCAGGAGGTTGGATCTGAGACGTGTTTTGAGTTGGTCATAGTGAAGGACGCTAGGTGTAAATTCTAGTGAGAACAATTTCCAGGAAGCCGTGTTCCGCTCTTGAGCGAGCACCCACTGGGCCTCATGCAAGGTAGAATGAGCCTGCGTACGTCACCCTCCCATGATGTGGTCAACATGTAAACTGCATGGGCAGGGCGCCAAATAACATCCTGTGCGCTGCTGAGCTGAGCTGGGGCGCGGCCGCCTGTCTGCACCGGCAGCACCATGTCGCTCACGGTCGTCAGCGTGGCGTGTGTTGGTGAGTCCTGGAAGGGAATAGAGGAAGGGAGTGTGGGGTTGGAGATCTGGGCCCAGAGGTGGAGATATAGGCCTGGAGGTGGAGTTGTGGGCCTGGAGTGGAGATCTGGGCCTGGAGTGGATATATGGGCCTAGAGATGGAGTGATGGGCCTAGAAGTGGAGATCTGGGCCTGGAGTGCCGATAGGAACCTGGAGGGGAGATAGGAGCCTGGAGTGGAGACATGGGCCTGGAGGTGGAGTTATAGGCCTATAGTAGAGATATGGGCCTGGAGTGGAGATTTGGGCCAGGAGTGGAGATATGGGCCTAGAGGTGGATATCTGGGCCTAGAGTGGAAATATGGGCCTAGGATGGAGATATGGGCCTGGTTGTGGAGATATGGGACTGGAGAGGAGATATGGGCCTAGAGTGGAGATATGGGCTTGGGGTGGAGATCTGGGCCTGGGGTGGAGATATGGGCCTGGAGGTGGAGTTACGGGCCTTCAGTAGAGATATGGGCCTGGGGTGGAGATATGGGCTTGGGGTGGAGATCTGGGCCTGGAGTGGAGATATGGGCCTGGAGGTGGAGTTACTGGCCTTCAGTAGAGATATGGGCCTGGTGTGGAGATATGGGCCTGGATTGGAGATATGGGCCTAGGGTGGAGATCTGAGCCTGGGGTGGAGATATGGGCCTGGATTGGAGATATGGGCTTACAGTGGAGATCTTGGCCTGGATTGGCGATATGGGCCTGGATTGGCGATATGGGCCTATGATGGAAATATCGGCCTGGAGTGGAGATATGGGCCTGGAGTGGAGATACAGGCCTAGGGTGGAAATATTGGCCTGGAGTGGAGATATGGGCTTGTGGTGGGGATATGGGCTTGTGGTGGGGATCTGGGCTTGGAGGCTGGGTCTCTGCACAGCCGACAGCCCTGTTCTTGGGTGCAGGTAGGCACTGAGGGTGAGTTTAACTTCAGTCCAGGAAGGGCCTGCCTACCAAGACTCACAGCCCAGTGAGGGCAGCAAGGGTGCCCTGGTTTGCCTGCAGATGGATCGTCCATCATGATCTTTCTTTCCAGGGTTCTTCTTGCTGCAGGGGGCCTGGCCACATGAGGGTGAGTCCTTCTCCAAACCTTCGGGTGTCATCTCCCCACATAAGAGGATTTTCCTGAAACAGGAGGGAAGTCCTGTCAGGGAGCCTCTCATAAACTAGGAAGAGGGGACCCTGGGGTGCTCGGCCCACAGTTCCGACCTCGCCTCCCTGGCCTTTCATTCCCTTGGCAGAGTCAAGTTCTGTGGGGACCAGGGTTAGACTGGGGTGCTCAAAGCTGGGGTGCGTGGTGGGGAAGTGGTAGGAACAGCAGATCCTCTGAGGACAAAGGTGTTACTCACACTTCAGCGTTTCCATGACGGTAGGGGCTGCAGTGTGGCTGCTGTCACTCCACCAGAAGAGGTGGGAAACCACAGCCATGGCCCTGACATTCCAAATCCTCTGATGGGGGCTCAGTTGCTTATTTTCATTCAGGCATCTGCTGATATTCCATTCTCAAAGACATGCCCTCCACCCCATGTCTACCCTGTGTTGTTTTATGTGAGTAATCTTACAGTATTAAAATCTAGTAGGAGTCTCTTACTCAGCACTTGCTCAAAGTTCTCAGCTGACACTTTTGTTGTAGGGAGACACCTTGTGTTTGCGGGATGGGTCCTTCCTTTAGCCCTGGGCACCAAGGTGTGATAGCAGCCATAGAAACTTGGAAAGCGAGGAGAATCTTCAGAGCACAGGGAGGGAGGGGTGGCTCCACATCCTCCTCTCTAAGGCGGTGCCTCCTTCTCCCCAAGGTGGTCAGGACAAGCCCTTGCTGTCTGCCTGGCCCAGCTCTGTGGTGCCTCCAGGACATGTGATTCTTCGGTGTCATTCTTATCTTGGGTTTAACAACTTCAGTCTGTAAAAGGAAGATGGGGTGCCTGGCACTGAGCTCTACAACAGAATATTCTGGAAGAGCCTTTTCATGGGCCCTGTGACCCCAGCACACACAGGGACGTACAGATGTCGGGGTTCACACCCACACTACCCCAGTGGGTGGTCGGCACCCAGCAACACCCTGGTGATCATGGCCACAGGTCAGAGGGCTCCTGTCTTGGATTCTCCTTTCCCACCTCCTGAATCCCAGAGCTTCTGGTGGGCGTGTCCTTGAGGGTCCCATCACCCAGGCCCTGACTATATTTGGGGTAAAGGGGGATTGAATACAGGGAAATGGGTGCTGTGGTGGGAAGAATAATTGTCCCCAGTGATGACTACATTCAAATCCCTGGAGTCTGTGACTATTTATGTTATAGGGGAAGGAACTGAAGGGGAAGATGGAGCTCAGGTTGTTGATGAGTTGACCTTGAGATGGGGAGACAGCCTGGACTGTCCCGCTGGGCTCAGTGTAATCACAAGGGTCCACATGAAAGGAGGAGGAAGAGGGGAGTGGGGATTAGAGCAGCGCAATGGGAGACTCCACCAGCTTTGAAGGTGGAGGAAGGCCAGGAGCCATGAATGCAGGTGGCCTGTAGAGGTTGGAAAAGTCAAGGAAATGATTCTCCAGAGTCTCCAGAGGGAACGAAGCCCTGCAGATGCCTTGATTTTAGCCCAGGAAAAACAGGGTCCTATTTCTGTCTCCAGTAGTGAAATGGGTCAGTGTGCTCTCTCCTGCTGCCATGCTTCTGATAATTTTCTACAGCAGCAACAGGAAACCAACACTGGAACCCAGGTCAAGGACAAGGTAAGAAACAACACAAGGATAGCCGGGTGTGGTGGCAGGCGCATGTAATCCTAGCGACTTGGGAGGCTGAGGGCAGGAGAATCACTTGAACCCAGGAGACAGAGGTTGCAGTGACCCTAGACCACACCACTTCACTCCAGCTGGGGTGAAGGAGTGAGACTCTGTCTCCATAATTAATTAATTAATTAAAGGAACCAAACAAGGGGAAGGTTGGCTACACCGAGATGAGCAAGTGTGGGATGATGATGCCACCACCAGGCTCCATCCACATAGGGAGGGGTTGATACTCCTCAAACCAGCACCAGGAGCCAGCCTATGGAAGCTGGCACCATGGAGAAGGCACAGGCATGGCAAGAGTGGCTCCCAGTCCCGACCAGGAACAGGGTGTGTGGACACTGGTGCCTGCCTTATTCATCAGTTCATACCTACTGCCAAGGATTCCAATTCATCCAAAAGAGATTGAACCAGGCTGATAAGAGGCTGGATGTGCAGCCTATCCTGGTTCCTCTTTCACCCCCACATAAACAGCAGGAAAGACATTAGTGTGAAATAGATACAACACCCCAAGAGATGAGGCTAAGCCCAGTGGGAAGGGAATCAGAGGCGACTAGAGACAGAGGGACAGAGAAGAGGGAGGGAGACAGATGGAAGGACCTGCACCAGGAGTTATGGGCACAGAAAAGAACATGAAGACACAGAGAGGAAGGAGAGAGACAGACACCAGCAAGGGGAAGCCTCACTCATTCTAGGTGCCATGGATGGGATGATAAAGAGAGACACCTTCTAAACTCACAACCTCTCTTCCTAGGAGTCCACAGAAAACCTTCCCTCCTGGCCCACCCAGGTCCCCTGGTGAAATCAGAAGAGACAGTCATCCTGCAATGTTGGTCAGATGTCAGGTTTGAGCACTTCCTTCTGCACAGAGAAGGGAAGTTTAACGACACTTTGCACCTCACTGGAGAGCACCATGATGGGGTTTCCAAGGCCAACTTCTCCATCGGTCCCATGATGGAAGACCTGGCAGGGACCTACAGATGCTACGGTTCTGTTACTCACTCCCCCATCAGTTGTCAGCTCCCAGTGACCCTCTGGACATCGTCATCACAGGTGAGAGTGTCCGGACATTCTTCTCATTGTCATTGGGATGCAGAGTGAATGATCCACGACTTGGAACCCCCAGGTAGTTGTAAGGAAGATGAGCTTGGTATTCTTATGGAGAGAGACTGACTTGGTGAGGTCTGTACCAACAGAGACAGAGAAACAGGAGACACAAGTACAGACCAGGTGTCATAACAGAGGACAGACACAGGGGCCATACCGGGAGTTAGAAAAGACAGAAGGAGTTAAAGGAGACAGACAGACAGACATGTCCCAGAGAGAGGTGTCCCTCCATGCTGACTTTGCTCAGAGACCTGGCACAGGTTAGAAGTTTCATTTCTGTTTTACCTCCACAAAGTGTTCTCTACCAGGAGAACCCAAGGACACCCATATTTCTGACCTGAGTTGGGCCCTGTGGCCTCAGGCCTTGTGGCACCTACAGATGCCGTGTTTATTCTGACACCTCTGCCTTCCATGTAATGGAGAGTAACCGTCCCAGGATATCATGGCCCCAGAACACCAACTCCTGTATGCTGTGTGAACTTGTGGTCTCCAGACTGGATTCTGAGGCTCACATTCCAAATAACCCCACATATGAAAGGATCACTGAGAGGCACAGAGAGAAATCAGGGACACCAAAAAGCAAAGACATAAACACACAGAGAATGAGCCAGAGGAAGGAGATTGAGAGACTCACAGACACATAAAGAGAGAGAAAAGAGGGCAGAGGAGTGGTGAGAATGATGGAAGGGAGCAGAGAAAAGCACTAAAATTAGACTCCTGAGGGAGAGGCACAAGGACATAGAAAGATGGAGATGTGGGGATGAATTGCAGAGATTCCAAAGAGAACTAGAGAGACCGAGAGGCAGAGCAAGACAGATGATAGAAGGTTAGATATAGATAGATGATAAATAGGTAGATGATAGATAATAGGTTAAAGATACATAGATGATGATTGATTGATTCATTAATAGATGAGACATAGAGATGATGATGATGAAGACAGATAGATAATACATAGAGATAGAGAGGCAGACAGAAGTCATAGAGAGAGAGATGATACATAGATATAGATAACAGATGATTGATGGATAGATAGACAAGTGATAGATACATAGATGATATATAGACATAGATGACAGGTAGAGAATTTGTAGATAGGCACCGAATAGATAAATAGATAGATCGATAGATAATAGATAGAAATATGCAGAAAGTTATGAACAGGACACAAAGTGAGAAACTTAGAATTTAAAAAAGTAACATCAAGTCAACCAATCCAAGGAGAGTCAGAGAGAATAAAAGAATCCAAAAAGGGAAAACATATCTAGAGGTGTGGAAGCGAGGTCAGAGACCTAGAGAGACAGAGAAGGTGGAAGGAGGAAATAGACATGAAGAGAGATGGGGTGGAGGGTGAGAGACAGAGAGAGAGAGCATTAGGTCATAGAGCAGGGGAGTGAGTTCTCAGCTCAGGTGAAGGGAGCTGTGACAAGGAAGATCCTCCGTAAGGAAAATGCCTCTTCTCCTTCCAGGTCTATATGAGAAACCTTCTCTCTCAGCCCAGCCGGGCCCCACGGTTCTGGCAGGAGAGAGCGTGACCTTGTCCTGCAGCTCCCGGAGCTCCTATGACATGTACCATCTATCCAGGGAGGGGGAGGCCCATGAACGTAGGTTCTCTGCAGGGCCCAAGGTCAACGGAACATTCCAGGCTGACTTTCCTCTGGGCCCTGCCACCCACGGAGGAACCTACAGATGCTTCGGCTCTTTCCGTGACTCTCCCTACGAGTGGTCAAACTCGAGTGACCCACTGCTTGTTTCTGTCACAGGTGAGGAAAGCCCATGGCTGTCCCATGTCCTATGATCCTAGAGCCTTAGCTGAGGAGCTTCCTGCTGAGGATGGAGAGAAGGATGAACAGATGCAGAGAGAAGACGAAGCTTGGGTGTGAGGGAGGGATCAGGGCACAGGATGGCAGACAGGGCACCTCCAAACCCTCCTACATGGCCTGCATGAAGGCCTGCGGCCAGGACTCCAGGCACCCAGGCAGATGGAGAAAGCGGTCAGGAGAGACCCAGAGGAGGGAGACTGGGCTCAGTTTGGGAAGATCAGAGGTTCCCTCAGCCCCTCAACATTACCCATTTCCCAGAAGCCCATCCTGGCCTCCCACCCACACAGGGATGTCATCACCTGCAACCCCTACACCCTTTACTTTTGTTTGAGAAATATTTATTGAGGATAAATATACCTATATAGCTTACCACCTTTAACATTTTTTTTTTGAGGCGGAGTCTAGCTCTGTCCCCTATGCTGGAGTGCATTGGCACAATCTCAGCTCACTGCAACTTCCGCCTCCTGGGTTCAAGCGATTCTCTTGCCTCAGCCACCTGAGTAGCTGGTGCTACAGGCGTGCACCACCATGCCAGGCTACTTTTTGTATTTTTAGTAGAGAGGGGGTTTCACCATGTTGGTCAAGCTGGTCTGGAACTCCTGACCACGTGATCCATCCGCATCAGCCTCCCAAAGTGCTGGGATTACAGGCATGAGCCACCACGCCCAGCCACATTTACCATTTTTAAGTGTAAAGTCTAGTGGTCATAAATACATTAATATATATATATATACACATATTTTTTTTTACCCTCCACCCTTTTCTTCCTGGCCTCTGGTAGCCACCATTCTACTCTCTACCTTCATGAGATCCACCTTTTAGCTCCTGTATATGGGTAAGAAATGGGAATCTTTGTAATGACCTCCAGTTCCATCCATGTGGCTGCAAATATCAGGATGTTTTTCTTTCTATGGAAGAGTAGTCTCCACTATGCAAATGTACCACATTCTCTCTATCCATTCACCCACTGATGGGCAGGTAGGTTGACTCCTCATCTTGGCTACTGTGAAGAGTGCTGCACCAATCATACGAGTGCAGATATCACTTCGATATATTGATTTACTTTCCTTTGGATATAAACCCAGTAGTGAAATTGCTGGATACTATGAAAGTTCTCTTTTTAGTTTTTCGTTTGTTGTTTTGTTTTTGTTTTTGAGACAGTTTCCCTCTGTGCCCAGGCTGGAGTACAAGTGATGTCATCTTGGCTCATTGCAACCTCTGCCTCCTGGGTTCAAATGATTTTCCTGCCTCAGCCTCCCTAGTATCAGGGATTATAGGCGCACGCCACCATGCCTGGCTACTTTTTGTTTTTTTTAGTATAGATGCGGTTTCCCCATGTTGGCTGGGCTGCTCTCAAACTCATGACCTCAACTGAGGTGCCCGCCTCGGTCTCCCAAAGTGCCGGGATTACAGGCATGATCCACCTCACCCAACCTCTTTTTAGTTCTTTAAAGGACTTCCACACTTTTCTCCGTAATGGCTGTACTAATTTACACTCCTACCAACAGGATACCAGGATTCTCCTTTCTCTAACACCTTGCCAGCATTTCTTTTGCCTGTCTTGCAGCTAAAAGCCATTTTATTTTATTTCATTTTATTTTGAGATGGAGTTTCGCTCTTGTCACCCAGGCTGAGTGCAGTGGTGCGATCTCGGCTCACCACAACCTCCACCTCCCAGGTTCAAGCGATTCTCCTGCCTCAGCCTCCCGAGTAGCTGGAATTACAGGCACACGCCACCACGCCCGACTAATTTTTGTATTTTTAGTAGAGACAGTGTTTCTCCATGTGGGTCAGACTGGTCTCAAACTCCCGACCTTATGAGATTCACCCACCTCAGGCTCTCAAAGTTCTAGGATGACAGACGTGAGCCACCACGCCCGGCCTAAAAGCCATTTTAATGGGGTGAGATGAAAACTCACTTTGATTTTAATTTGCGTTTCTCTGATGATGAGTGATACTGAGCACTTTTTCGTATGTGGGGAAATTTCATGTCTTTTGCTCCTTTTTCAATTAAATCATTTGTTTTATTGAGTTGTTTGAGCTTCTTATATTTCTAGTTATTAATCCCATCTCAGATGCATAGTTTGCACATATTTGCTCCCAATCTGTGGGTTGTCTCTTCACTTTGTTGGTTTATTTTTAGCGGTGCAGAAGTTGCTTAGTTTGAGGTAATCCCAATGGTCTATTTTTGCTTCGATTACTTGTGTTTTGAAGGTTTAAAACAAAATGTCTTCCTTCAGACAAACGTCCTGGAGCATTTCCCCAATATTTTCTTCTACGTGTTTCATAGGTTCAGGCCTTAGACTCACATCTTTAATCCATTTTCATTTGATTTTTGTGTATAGTGACAGGCAGAGGTGCAGTTTCATTCCTCTGCATGTAGATGTCCAGGTTTCCCTGCACTGTTTATTGAAAAGACTGTCCTTTCCTGATTGTGAGTTCTTGGCACCTTTGTCAAAGTCCATTGGATGGGCTGGGCATGGTGGCTGACACCTGCAATTTCAGCACTTTGGGAGCCCGAGGTGGGTGGATCACCTGAGGCCAAGAGTTCAAGATTAGTCTGGCCAACGTGATGAAACATCGTCTACACTAAAAATATAAAAATTAGCTGAGCATGGTGGTCAGCACCTGTAATACCACTACTCAGGAGTTTGAGGCAAGAGAAGTGATTGAACCCAGGAGGCTGTGGTGGCAGTGAACCGAGATTGCACCTCTGCACTCCAGCCTGGGTGACAGAGCAAGACTCCATCTCAAAAGAAAAACAAAAAATACATTGGAGGTAAATGCATGGATTATATCTGTGTTATTCATTCTGCTCCGTTGTTCTATGTGCCTTTCTTCATGCCAACGTCATGCTGTCTTGCTTACTACAGCTCTGTAACATATTTTGAGATCAGGTAGTGTGATGCTCCTGTTTTCTCTTTATACCTTGAAGTCTCAAGACAGTAGCCGTCACATACAAAAATTACGGAAAAAAGGATCCCAGGACTCCCAGGGCCCAATATTAGATAACAGAGTGTTGGCCATGAACCAACCTCAAAGATTTCCACTGAGTAGAGGACAGACACCCTCATTTCCTCACCTCTCTCCTGTCTCGTGTTCTAGGAAACCCTTCAAATAGTTGGCCTTCACCCACTGAACCAAGCTCCAAAACCGGTGAGTACAGAACCCTCTTATATCCGCTTTTGGAAACCTGGGGAGGTGGAAACCTTGGATTCAGGCGTTGACTCAGCATCTCACAGCTCTGACATTGTACGCCTGTCTTCTACCATCTCCGAACTCCAGATACTCCAACAGCGAAAGGGATCTGGACCCAAAACAGGGCTCAGTGAAATCTCTTAATCTCTCATTTTATGGAGCTGAGATCTCCTACAAGCTAGAAAAATGATTGGCAATCTGACATCCTTCTCAGGAAAAATGCAATGTTTGTTCTGCCTGCATTCCTAACTGGAGGATAAATTCCTGGGGGCTTGAGAGAGGGAAGGGTAGGGAACATTTGATGAGGGCAAGGTGTTTTAGAGAAGTTCCACTTGCCCAGGAATGAATTACTGTTGGTCATGAAGCAACCCTGGCTGACTCAGCAGAGCAAGAGCTTTGCCTTAACAGAGAACGGAGCTCATGCACGCACACTTCGACTCACTGACTCATTCAGCCACGGCCCCATGCTCAGGCCGTGGAAAAGGCAATTCCCAGCACTGCAGGAGGCCAAGGCGGGTGGATCACTTGAAGTCAGGAGTTCCAGACCAGCCTGGCCAAAATGGTGAAACCCTGTCTCTATGAAAAATACAAAAATTAGCCGAGCATGGTGGTGCATCCCTGTAATCCCAGCTCCTACTCTTGAGGATGAAGCAGGAGAACAACTTCAACCCAGGAGGTGGAGGTTGCAGTGAGTGGAGATTGCATCACTGCACTCCAGCCTGGGTGACACAAGGAGACTCCGTCTCAAAAAATAAAAATAAGAAATGCATAAATATAATAAAACACACACGAATGACAAAGGCACCTGAATTCCAATCATCATTTTTGTATTTCTCTATAATTACTTCTTTGATCCTTTGTCTTATCCATTAGGCAATGAGCCTAAAACCTCTTCCGTATTTGGCTTTCTGTGAGCATGAGACCATATAGAAAATGTGAAAGCCCGCTGAATCCTCCAGCACAGATCGTGGAATAGAGAAAGTGCTCTGTTCATCACAAAAAAAACTTGCCCTCTCACTCAAATCCCCCACTTCACCCCTACTTCCAATCACCTGTGGAGATTCAGATAGACCATGGGGAGGTAAACATTAATACTCCTTGGAGTGAGTCCAGATCTTGGAATGAGAGATCAGCACCAGCACTAGCTCCTGCTCCCCTTTCCTACTAATTCACAGGAGGACAGGTGGTATTGAAGCAATAGATGGTGGAGGGGGTGGTCCTTCCCCCAGCCTCTCAGGTAGAACAGCAGCCTAACATGTGTCTCCCGAGATCACAAAGAGTAGGACGTTTCACAGGGGCTTCAACACGATTTCCTGGCTGTTGGACATAAGATAACTCTATTTCGCTTTTTTATCTTGATTTCACTTTTGTTTCCTTTCCTTGGAGAACGCAAGTTGTTTGACTCAAGAATGCTGTGGATGTAGAAATCCTAAAGCACATTCGCTGTGTGTCAATCCCAGTGCAGTCTTCCCAGAAAAGACCCTAAACACCTCCTAGACTGCACCTGGGCCTACGCCAATTCCTATCACTCACCGTCACTCCAGGGAGACAGAACACACAGAGAATACGTTACATAGGCAGGTTCATTACTAACAGATAAGCAGCGAGTGAAAACAGAAGCCTACATTTCAATGTGAGCCAGTCCCTCAAGGCTCAGAAAAGCTGCTCGGGACATATGGAGTCACCCCATTTGCAGTGTAGCTGGGGGAAGCCAGAAAGCAGCCCAGCCTGGGTTTTGTACCCTGGAGCCACAGGAAGCACTCAGCTAAAGCACTGCATGACGTCCTCCTCCAGGAAGAACAGGAAGACAGCCCAGGCTGCTCTGGGACGTTCCTCCTGATCTCAGGACGTTGCTGTCTTAGTCCATTTTTGTTGCTCTAAAGGAACACTTGAGCCTGGGCAACTTCTAAAGAAAAGAGATTGGTTTGCCTCACCGTTCTGCAGGCTGTACTGGAAGCATGGCACCAGCATCTATTTCTCGTGATGGCCTCAGGCTGCTCCCACTCTGGCAGAAGGGAAGGAGGGTCTGTCTGTGCAGAGACCACAGAGATCACACGGCAAGAGAGGGAGCAAGGGGGAGGGGGAGCGATGGAGCTTCCAAGTTCTTTTGAACAACCAGCTCTCTGGGAACTAATAGAGGGGGAACTAGCTAACCCCGTCTCCTTGGGACAGCATTGATCTGTTCATGATGGATCCACCTCCATGACCCAAACACCTCTCAAGAGGCCCAACCTCCCACAATGGGGGTGAAATTTCAATGTGAGGTTTGAAGGGGTCAAACATCTCAACTAAAGTAGTTGTATCCTCAGCACATTCTATGGTTACTTTGAGAGCTATAACTGAGAAAGCAGGAGAAAGCTGGGTCTCCCGCCATCTGGGTGCTTGTCCTAAAGAGGTGTTTTACGTGGTTACCTGTCAATCAAGAAATGCGAGACAATTCATAAAGAGGAACTGCTATGATTAGCTTCTTATTGGTGTCTCATCTTCTTCCAGGTAACCCAAGACACCTGCACGTTCTGATTGGGACCTCAGTGGTCATCATCCTCTTCATCCTCCTCCTCTTCTTTCTCCTTCATCGCTGGTGCTCCAACAAGAAAAGTAAGTCTCACGAAGGAGAGGCCAGAGAGCTCAGGGCCATGTGGGGAAGCAGGATGGGAGCACTCAGGTGTGTGTTCCTCACAGGTAGGATGGTCCCTGGCCCAAGGCAGCAGCCACAGAGGCAGGACTTTCTAGAGAGGGCACCAGACTCCCTGTCCCTGCTTTCAGCTCACAGACCGTTGCCTGATTCTGAACTGTATCCTCATGTCCCCTGCAGCCACTCACATCCAGGAGAAGGTTCCATGACAGGCAGAAAGTGGGAGACAGAATCAATGGGATGGGAACTCAGAGCTATTCATGGGATGGGTCCTTGAGCTCAGAGAGATAGAATGTCTGAGTCTGCTGTTGGCAACTGAGGGACCTCAGGCACCTATGGCCTCCCCCTGTTTGTTGGTATCTGCTTATGAAATGAGGACCCAGAAGTGCCCTCCGAGCTCTTTTGTTGACTTCCGTCTCCTACACATGCTGCTGTAATGGACCAAGAGCCTGCAGGGAACAGAACAGCGAATAGCGAGGTAGGTGCTCCTCGGCCCAGCCTCGTGGCTAGTGTTATTCCCAAACAGTCCTGGAAAACGTGAGCACCCTCCCTCACTCAGCATTTCCCTCTCTCCAGGACTCTGATGAACAAGACCCTCAGGAGGTGACATACGTACAGTTGGATCACTGCGTTTTCACACAGAGAAAAATCACTCGCCCTTCTCAGAGGCCCAAGACACCCCCAACAGATACCAGAGTGTACACGGAACTTCCAAATGCTGAGTCCAGATCCAAAGTTGTCTCCTGCCCATGAGCACCACAGTCAGGCCTTGAGGGGATCTTCTAGGGAGACAACAGCCCTGTCTCAAAACCGGGTTGCCAGCTCCCATGTACCAGCAGCTGGAATCTGAAGGCGTGAGTCTGCATCTTAGGGCATCGCTCTTCCTCACACCACAAATCTGAATGTGCCTCTCTCTTGCTTACAAATGTCTAAGGTCCCCACTGCCTGCTGGAGAGAAAACACACTCCTTTGCTTAGCCCACAATTCTCCATTTCACTTGACCCCTGCCCACCTCTCCAACCTTACTGGCTTACTTCCTAGTCTACTTGAGGCTGCAATCACACTGAGGAACTCACAGTTCCAAACATACAAGAGGCTCCCTCTTAACACGGCACTTAGACACGTCCTGTTCCACCTTCCCTCATGCTGTTCCACCTCCCCTCAGAGTATCTTTCAGCCTTCTGTCAGCAGTAAAACTTATATATTTTTTAAAATAATTTCAATGTAGTTTTCCCTCCTTCAAATAAACATGTCTGCCCTCATGGTTTCGGTAATGGGACTCTTTTCTTGCCTAAGACTTCCAGTGTTATCATTACCATGTCCACATAACCCCATCTGTTCTCCACTGGGTTCTCACCCCCGGACTCTGAGTTTCTGGAAGCAGGGTGGAGCCTCATTTGTCTCTGGGACTCCTATTTCCATCCAAAGATGTAGCACATAGGAGGTTCCAAGGATCGTGAATCACATGAACAAGTGATATTCTTACTCTCTGCAGACCTGGAAATCTGGCAGAGTCATTCCAAGATGAAACATTTGTAGAGTCATAGGCCTTGTTAGTCTCATCTACACAGGGACACATATCAACACATCATCTTTCACACTATAAATATACAGTCACTCCTCCATATCTGTGGGGTTTACAGTTCTTTATTGAACCGAGTATAAATCAAAAATATTCAGAGAAAGTATCCACAGAGTTACAAAAAGCAGAACTGTGTTGAATGGACACAAATGAAGCTGTGTGTAGGCTGCATCAGGAATTATAAGTAATCTAGAGATGATTTCATGTATACAGGAGGATGTGCATAGGTTATTTGCAAACTCTGTGCCATTTCATATAAGAGGCTTGAGCATCTACAGATTTTGGTATCTGAGTGGAGATCTCGAAACCAATCACCCAGGAATAGTGAAGGATGACCGTATATGACTTTTATTTCTCAAATTTAAATATAAATCATAAAAAATGTACAACTAGATAAAAACTAAGAAGTGTTTTTATAGTGTGAGTTAGATTTATTTTTTCCTAGGTATAACCCATTGGTTTAATATTATTTATTGAGAAGACATTCTATGCCACCTTAAACCACACGGCAGCCTTTGTCAACTCTAAAGGGACTGTGTGTACACGGATGTACTTTAGACACTGTTTCTGCTAAGGGGCTCTCTGTGTCCACACTCTTGATGATGCTGCACTTTATGTAGCCTTATAGAACCCTTTAAATTTAGTAGCCAGAGCTCTCTAATTTGTTATTATAGGCTATTTGCTTTTTTTTCTTGAGGCGGAGTCTTGCTCTGTCGCCCAGGCTGGACTGCAGTGACACAATCTCAGCTCACTGCAACTTCTGCCTCCCAGGTTCAAGCGATTCTCGTGCCTCAGCCTCTTGAGTAGCTGGCGTTACAGGTGCCTGCCACCAGGCACGGCTAATTTTTGGATTTTTAACAGAGACACGGTTTCACTATATTGGCCAGGCTGCTCTCAAACTCCTTATCTCAGTTGATCCGCCCACCTCGGCTTCCCAACGTGCTGGGGAAACTTGATTTTCTATAGCATTATGTTACTGGATATTTCTGTAAAATTTAAAATGAGGGAGGGAGAGAGACAGACGGAAAACAAACTCCAGAGTTGGGACTCTGGAATCTTGGGTCATGAGACAAATTTTAGATTAAACTACAAAACTCCAGAATTTACAGGTGGGGTTTTTACTGATAAAGTACAATTCTAAGATTGTAAATAATTGCATAATCCTTCCCTGGGAATTTAAATCATTTTAACTGGTTCTGCTGTAATACTAGAAATACAAGCATGAAAAATTCTAATGGTTTGTTAGTCACAATGACTCTGAAAACATTAATAATACCTATTAGATATTTTGCATATTACACAGGAAGAAGAGTTTGAATCTCAGATAAAAACAATAGAAATACATGAAAAGTCTTTCATGTTAGCACAGATTTTAGGCATCTCGTGTTCGGGAGGTTGGATCTCAGACGTGTTTTGAGTTGGTCATAGTGAAGGACACTAGGTGTCAAATTCTAGCGAGAACAATTTCCAGGAAGCCGTGTTCCGCTCTTGAGCGAGCACCCACTGGGCCTCATGCAAGGTAGAAAGAGCCTGCGTACGTCACCCTCCCATGATGTGGTCAACATGTAAACTGCATGGGCAGGGCGCCAAATAACATCCTGTGCGCTGCTGAGCTGAGCTCGGTCGCGGCTGCCTGTCTGCTCCGGCAGCACCATGTCGCTCTTGTTCGTCAGCATGGCGTGTGTTGGTGAGTCCTGGAAAGCAATAGAGGGAGGGAGTGAGGGGATGGAGATCTGGGCCCAGAGGTGGAGATATAGGCCTGGAGGTGGAGTTATGGGCCTGGAGTGGAGATCTGGGCCTGGAGTGGATATATGGGCCTAGAGATGGAGTGATGGGCCTAGAAGTGGAGATCTGGGCCCAGAGGTCGAGATATAGGCCTGGAGGTGGAGTGATGGGACTGTAGTGGAGATCTGGGCCTGGAGTGGAGATAGGAACCTGGAGGGGAGATAGGAACCTGGAGGGGAGATATGGGCCTGGAGGTGGAGATATGGGCCTGGAGTGGAGTCATGGGCCTGGAGGTGGAGTTACGGGCCTGCAGTAGAGATATGGGCCTGAAGTGGAGACATGGGCCTGGAGTGGAGATATGGGCCAGGAGTGGAGATATGGGCCTAGAGGTCGATATCTGGGCCTGGAGTGGAGATATGGGCCAGGAGTGGAGATATGGGCCTAGAGGTCGATATCTGGGCCTGGAGAGGAGATATGTGCCTAGGATGGAGATACGGGCCTGGGTGTGGAGATATGGGACTGGAGAGGATATATGGGCCTGGAGTGGAGATATGGGACTGGAGAGGAGATATGGACCTGGAGTGGAGATAAGGGCCTGGATTGGAGATATGGGCCCAGGGTGGAGATCTGAGCCTGGATTGGAGATATGGGCCTGGATTGGCGATATGGGCTTAGGGTGGAAATATCGGCCTGGAGTGGAGATATGGGCCTGGAGTGGAGATATGGGCTTGAGGTGGGGATATGGACCTGGAGGCTGGGTCTCTGCACAGCCGACAGCCCTGTTCTTGGGTGCAGGTAGGCACTGAGGGTGAGTTTACCTTCAGCCCAGGAAGGGCCTGGCTACCAAGACTCACAGCCCAGTGGGGGCAGCAAGGGTGCCCTGGTTTGCCTGCAGATGGGTCATCCATCATGATCTTTCTTTCCAGGGTTCTTCTTGCTGCAGGGGGCCTGGCCACATGAGGGTGAGTCCTTCTCCAAACCTTCGGGTGTCATCTCCCCACATAAGAGGATTTTCCTGAAATGGGAGGGAAGTCCTGTCAGGGAGTCTCTCATAAACTAGGAAGAAGGGACCCTGGGGTGCTGGGCCCACATTTCTGACCTTGCCTCCCTGGCCTTTCATTCCCTTGGCAGAGTCAAGTTCTGTGGGGACCAGGGTTAGACTACGGTGCTCAAAGCTGGGGTGTGTGGTGGGGAAGTGGTAGGAACAGCAGATCCTCTGAGGACAAAGGTGTTACTCACACACTTCAGCGTTTCCATGACGGTAGGGGCTGCAGTGTGGCTGCTGTCATTCTACCAGAAGAGGTGGGAAAACCACAGCCATGGCCCTGACATTCCAATCCTCTGATGGGGACTCAGTTGTTTATTTTCGTTCAGGCATCGGCTGATATTCCATTCTCAAAGGACATGCCCTCCACCCCATGTCTACCCTGTGTTGTTTTATGTGAGTAATCTTACAGTATTAAAATCTAGTAGGAGTCTCTTACTCAGCACTTGCTCAAAGTTCTCAGCTGACACTTTTGTTGTAGGGAGACACCTTGTGTTTGCGGGATGGGTCCTTCCTTTAGCCCTGGGCACCAAGGTGTGATAGCAGCCATAGAAACTTGGAAAGCGAGGAGAATCTTCAGAGCACAGGGAGGGAGGGGCGGCTCCACATCCTCCTCTCTAAGGCGGTGCCTCCTTCTCCCCACGGTGGTCAGGACAAGCCCTTGCTGTCTGCCTGGCCAAGCCCTGTGGTGCCTCCAGGACATGTGATTCTTCAGTGTCATTCTTATCTTGGGTTTAACAACTTCAGTCTGTAAAAGGAAGATGGGGTGCCTGTCCCTGAGCTCTACAACATAATATTCTGGAACAGCCTTTTCATGGGCCCTGTGACCCCAGCACACGCAGGGACCTATACATGTCGGGGTTCACAACCACACTACCCCAGTGGGTGGTCGGCACCCAGCAACCCCCTGGAGATCACGGTCACAGGTCAGAGGGCTCCTGTCTGGGATTCTCCTTGTCCCACCTCCTGAATCCCAGAGCTCCTGGTGGGCGTGTCCTTGCGGGTCCCATCATGCAAGTCCTGACTGTATTTGGGGTAAAGGGGGATTGAATACAGGGAAATGGGTGCTGTGGTGGGAAGAATAATTGTCCCCAGTGATGACTACATTCTAATCCCTGGAGTCTGTGACTATTTATGATATAGGGGAAGGGACTGAAGGAGAAGATGGAGCTCAGGTTGTTGATGAGTTGACCTTGAGATGGGGAGACAGCCTGGACTGTCCTGATGGGCTCAGTGTAGTCACAGGGGTCCACATGAAAGGAGGAGGAAGAGGGGAGTGGGGATTACAGCAGCGCAATGGGAGACTCCACCAGCTTTGAAGGTGGAGGAAGTCCAGGAGCCATGAATGCAGGTGGCCTATAGAGGCTGGAAAAGTCAAGGAACTGATTCTCCTGAGTCTCCAGAGGGAACGAAGCCCTGCAGGTGCCTTGATTTTACCCACGACAAACAGGGTCCGATTTCTGTCTCCAGAATTGGAAGGGGTTAGTGTGCTCTCTCCTGGTGCCATGCTTCTGATAATTTTCTACAGCAGCAACAGGAAACCAACACTGGAACCCAGGTCAAGGACAAGTTAAGAAACAACACAAGGATAGCCAGGCATGGTGGCAGGTGCATGTAATCCTAGCGACTTGGGAGGCTGAGGGCAGGAGAATCACTTGAACCCAGGAGACAGAGGTTGCAGTGAGCCTAGACCACACCACTTCACTCCAGCCTGGGCAAAGGAGTGAGACTCTGTCGCCAAAATTAATTAATTAATTAAAGAAACCAAACAAGGAGAAGGTTGGCTACACTGAGATCAGCAAGGCTCAGATGATGATGCCACCACCAGGCTCCATCCACATAGGGAGCGGTTGATACTCCTCCAACCAGCACCAGGAGCCAGCCTATGGAAGCTGGCACTGGCATGGCAAGAGTGGCTCCCAGTCCCTACCAGGAACAGGGTGTGTGGCCACTGGTGCCTGCCTTACTGATCAGTTCATACCTCCTGCCAAGGATTCCAATTCGTCCAAAAGAGATTGAACCAGGCTGCTAAGAGCCTGGATGTGCAGCCTATCCTGGTTCCTCTTCCACCCCCACATAGACAGCAGGAAAGACATTAGTTCGAAATAGATACAACAGCCCAAGAGATGAGGCTGAGCCCAGCGGCAAGGGAATCAGAGGCTACTAGAGACAGAGGGACAGAGAAGAGTGAGGGAGACAGATGGAAGGACCTGCACCAGGAGTTATGGGCACAGAAAAGAACATGAAGACACAGAGAGGAAGGAGAGAGATAAGACACCAGGAAGGGGAAGCCTGACTCAATCCAGGTGCCATGGATGGGATGATAAAGAGAGACACCTTCTAAACTCACAACCTCTCTTCCTAGGAGTCCACAGAAAACCTTCCCTCCTGGCCCACCCAGGTCCCCTGGTGAAATCAGAAGAGACAGTCATCCTGCAATGTTGGTCAGATGTCATGTTTGAACACTTCCTTCTGCACAGAGAGGGGATGTTTAACGACACTTTGCGCCTCATTGGAGAACACCATGATGGGGTCTCCAAGGCCAACTTCTCCATCAGTCGCATGACGCAAGACCTGGCAGGGACCTACAGATGCTACGGTTCTGTTACTCACTCCCCCTATCAGGTGTCAGCTCCCAGTGACCCTCTGGACATCGTGATCATAGGTGAGAGTGTCCAGACTTTCTTCTCATTGTCATTGGGATGCAGAGTGAATGATCCAGGAATTGGAGACCCAGGTGGCTGTAAGGAAGATGAGCTTGGTATTCTTATGGAGAGAGACTGACTTGGTGAGGTCTGTGCCAACAGAGACAGAGAAACAGGAGACACAAGTACAGACCAGGTGTCATAACAGAGAACAGACACAGGGGCCATACCGGGAGTTAGAAAAGACAGAAAGAGTTAAAGGAGACACACAGACAGACATGTCCCAGAGAGAGGTGTCCCTCCATGCTGACTTTGCTCAGAGACCTGGCACAGGTTAGAAGTTTCATTTCTGTTTTACCTCCACAAAGTGTTCTCTACCAGGAGAACCCAAGGACACCCATATTTCTGACCTGAGTTGGGCCCTGTGGCCTCAGGCCTTGTGGCACCTACAGATGCCATGTTTATTCTGACACCTCTGCCTTCCATGTAATGGAGAGTAATCGTCCCAGGATATCATGGCCCCACAACACCAACCCCTGTATGCTGTGTGAACTTGTAGTCTCCAGACTGGATTCTGAGGCTCATATTCCAAATAAGCCCACTTATGAGAGGATCAGTGAGAGGCACAGAGAGAAATCAGGGACACCAAAAAGCAAAGACATAAACACACAGAGAATGAGCCAGAGGAAGGAGATTGAGAGACTCACAGACACATAAAGAGAGAGAAAAGAGGGCAGAGAAGTGAGAATGATGGAAGGGAGCAGAGAAAAGCACTAAAATTAGACTCCTGAGGGAGAGGCACAAGGACATTGAAAGATGGAGATGTGGGGATGAATTGCAGAGATTCCAAAGAGAACTAGAGAGACCGAGAGGCAGAGCAAGACAGATGATAGATGGATAGATATAGATAGATGATAAATAGGTAGATGATAGATAATAGGTTATAGATACATAGATGATGATTGATTGATTCATTAATAGATGAGACATAGAGATGATGATGATGAAGACAGATAGATAGATAATACATAGAGATACAGAGGCAGACATAGAGAAATCATAGAGAGAGAGAGATGATACATAGATATAGATAATAGATGATTGATGGATAGATAGACAATTGATGGATAAATAGATGATATATAGATATAGATGACAGGTAGAGAATTTGTAGATAGGCACCGAATAGATAAATAGATAGATCGATAGATAATAGATAGAAATATGCAGAAAGTTATGAACAGGACACAAAGTGAGAAACTCAGAATTAAAAAAAGTAACATCAAGTCAACCAATCCAAGGAGAGTCAGAGAGAATAAAACAATCCAAAAAGAGAAAACATATCTAGAGGTGGGGAAGTGAGGTCAGAGACCTAGAGAGACAGAGAAGGTGGAAGGAGGAAATAGACATGAAGAGCGATGGGGTAGAGGGTGAGAGAGAGAGAGAGAGAGCATTAGGTCATAGAACAGGGGAGTGAGTTCTCAGCTCAGGTGAAGGGAGCTGTGACAAAGAAGATCCTCCCTGAGGAAACTGCCTCTTCTCCTTCCAGGTCTATATGAGAAACCTTCTCTCTCAGCCCAGCCGGGCCCCACGGTTCTGGCAGGAGAGAATGTGACCTTGTCCTGCAGCTCCCGGAGCTCCTATGACATGTACCATCTATCCAGGGAAGGGGAGGCCCATGAACGTAGGCTCCCTGCAGGGCCCAAGGTCAACGGAACATTCCAGGCTGACTTTCCTCTGGGCCCTGCCACCCACGGAGGGACCTACAGATGCTTCGGCTCTTTCCATGACTCTCCATACGAGTGGTCAAAGTCAAGTGACCCACTGCTTGTTTCTGTCACAGGTGAGGAAAGCCCATGGCTGTCCCATGTCCTATGATCCTAGAGCCTTAGCTGAGGAGCTTCCTGCTGAGGATGGAGAGAAGCATGGACAGATGCAGAGAGAAGACGCAGCCTCGGTGTGAGGGAGGGATCAGGGCACAGGATGGCCGACAGGGCACCTCCAAACCCTCCTACATGGCCTGCATGGAGGCCCACGGCCAGGGCTCCAGGCACCCAGGCAGATGGAGAAAGCGGTCAGGAGAGACCCAGAGGAGGGAGACTGGGCTCAGTTTGGGGAGATCAGAGGTTCCCTCAGCCCCTCAACCTTACCCATTTCCCAGAAGCCCATCCTGGCCTCTCACCCACACAGAGATGTCATCACCAGCAACCCCTACACCCTTTACTTTTCTTTGAAGAAATATTTATTGAGGATAAATATACCTATATAGCTTACCACTTTTAACATTTTTTTTTGAGGTGGAGTCTAGCTCTGTCCCCTATGATGGAGTGCAGTGGCACAATCTCAGCTCACTGCAACCTCCGCCTCCTGGGTTCAAGCGATTCTCCTGCCTCAGCCACCTGAGTAGCTAGTGCTACAGGCACGCACCACCACGCCAGGCTACTTTTTGTATTTTTAGTAGAGAGGTGGTTTCACCATGTTGGTCGAGCTGGTCTCGAACTCCTGACCACGTGATCCACCCGCATCAGCCTCCCAAAGTGCTGGGATTACAGGCATGGGCCACCAGGCCCAGCCACATTTACCATTTTTAAGTGTAAAGTCTAGTGGTCATAAATACATTTTTATATATATATATATATACATTTTTTTTACCCTCCACCCTTTTCTTCCTGTCCTCCAGTAGCCACCATTCTACTCTCTACCTTCATGAGATCCACCTTTTAGCTCCTGTATATGGGTGAGAAATGGGAATCTTTTTAATGACCTCCAGTTCCATCCATGTGGCTGCAAATGACAGGATGTTATTCTTTCTATGGATGAGTAGTCTCCACTGTGCGTATGTACTACATTCTCTCTATCCATTCACCCACTGATGGGCAGGTAGGTTGACTCCTCATCTTGGCTACTGTGAACAGTGCTGCACCAATCATACGAGTGCAGATATCACTTCGATATGTTGATTTACTTTCCTTTGGATATAAACCCAGTAGTGAAATTGCTGGATACTATGAAAGTTCTCTTTTTTTTTTTTTTTTTCTTTTTTGAGAAAGAGTTTCCCTCCTTAGCCCAAGCTGGAGTCAAAGTGGTGCAACCTTGGCTCATTGCAACCTCCGCCTCCTGGGTTCAAATGATTTTCCTGCCTCAGCCTCCCTAGTAGCTGGGATTACAGGTGCACACCACCATGCCTGGCTACTTTTTGGTTTTTTTAGTATAGATGCGGTTTCCCCATGTTGGCTGGGCTGCTCTCAAACTCATGACCTCAACTGAGGTGCCCGCCTCAGTCTCCCAAAGTGCCGGGATTACAGGCATGATCCACCTCACCCAACCTCTTTTTAGTTCTTTAAAGGACTTCCATACTTTTCTCCGTAATGGCTGTACTAATTTACACTCCTCCCAACAGGGTACCAGGGTTCTCCTTTCTCTACCACCTTGCCAGCATTTCTTTTGCCTGTCTTGCAGCTAAAAGCCATTTTATTTTATTTCATTTTATTTTGAGATGGAGTTTTGCTCTTCTCACCCAGGCTGGAGTGCAGTGGCGCTATCTCGGCTCACCACAACCTCCACCTCCCAGGTTCAAGCGATTCTCCTGCCTCAGCCTCCCGAGTAGCTGGAATTACAGGCACACGCCACCACGCCCTACTAATTTTTGTATTTTTAGTAGAGACAGCGTTTCTCTATGTGGGTCAGACTGGTCTCAAACTCCCAACCTTATGAGATTCACCCACCTCAGGTTCTCAAAGTTCTAGGATGACACAAGTGAGCCACCTCACCCGGCCTAAAAGCCATTTTAATGGGGTGAGATGAAAACTCACTTTGATTTTAATTTGCGTTTCTCTGATGATGAGTGATACTGAGCACTTTTTCGTATGTGGGGAAATTTCATGTCTTTTGCTCCTTTTTCAATTAAATCATTTGTTTTATTGAGTTGTTTGAGCTTCTTATATTTCTAGTTATTAATCCCATCTCAGATGCATAGTTTGCACATATTTGCTCCCAATCTGTGGGTTGTCTCTTCACTTTGTTGGTTTATTTTTAGCAGTGCTGAAGTTGCTTAGTTTGAGGTAATCCCAATGGTCTATTTTTGCTTCGATTACTTGTGTTTTGAAGGTTTAAAACAAAATGTCTTCCTTCAGACAAACGTCCTGGAGCATTTCCCCAATATTTTGTTCTACGTGTTTCATAGGTTCAGGCCTTAGACTCACATCTTTAATCCATTTTCATTTGATTTTTGTGTATGGTGACAGGTAGAGTTGCAGTTTCATTCCTCTGCATGTAGATGTCCAGGTTTCCCTGCACTGTTTATTGAAAAGACTGTCCTTTCCTGATTGTGAGTTCTTGGCATCTTTGTCAAAGTCCATTGGATGGGCTGGGCTTGGTGGCTAACACCTGCAATTTCAGCACTTTGGGAGCCCGAGGTGGGTGGATCACCTGAGGCCAGGAGTTCAAGATTAGTCTGGCCAACGTGATGAAACATCGTCTCCACTAAAAATATAAAAATTAGCTGAGCATGGTGGTCAGCACCTGTAATACCACTACTCAGGAATTTGAGGCAAGAGAATGATTGAACCCAGGAGGCTGAGGTTGCAGTGAACCGAGATTGCACCTCTGCACTCCAGCCTGAGTGACAGAGCAAGACTCCATCTCAAAAGAAAAAATAAAAAACCATTGGATGTAAATGCATGGAATATATCTGTGTTATTCATTCTGCTCCGTTGTTCTATGTGCCTTTCTTTATGCCAATGTCATGCTATTTTGCTTACTACAGCTCTGTAACATATTTTGAGATCAGGTAGTGTGATGCTCCTGTTTTCTCTTTATATCTTGAAGTCTCAAGACAGTGGGTGTCATATAAAAAAATTATGGAAAAAAGGATCCCAGGACTCCCAGGGCCCAATATTAGATAAGAGAGTGTTGGCCATGAACCATCCTCAAAGATTTCCACTGAGTGGAGGACAGACACCCTCATTTCCTCACCTCTCTCCTGTCTCATGTTCTAGGAAACCCTTCAAATAGTTGGCCTTCACCCACTGAACCAAGCTCCAAAACCGGTGAGTACAGAACCCTCTTATATCCGCTTTTGGAACCCTGGGGAGGTGGGAACCTTGGATTCAGGCGTTGACTCAGCATCTCACAGCTCTGACATTGTACACTTGTCTTCCACCATCTCCGAACTCCAGATACTCCTACAGCGAAAGGGATCTGGGCCCAACACAGGGCTCAGTGAAATCTCTTCATCTCTCATTTTATGGAGCTGAGACCTCCTACAAGCTAGAAGAATGATTGCCAATCTGACATCCTTCTCAGGAAAAATGCAATGTTTGTTCTACCTGCATTCCTCACTGGAGGATAAATTCCTGGAGACTTGAGAGAGGGAAGGGAAGGGAACATCTGATGAGGGCAAGGTGTTTTAGAGAAGTTCCACTTGCCAAGGAATGAGCTCCTGTAGGTCATGAAGCAACCCTGGCTGACTCCGCAGAGAAAGAGCCTTGCCGTAACAGAGAACAGAGCTCATGCACGCACACTTCGACTCACTGACTCATTCAGCCACGGCCCCATGCTCAGGCTGTGCAGTGTGGAACCTTTTCCTATTGTTGCCATAACAAATTTCCACAAGATTCGTGGGTGAAAACAAAACGGTTTTTTAATTATCTTACAGTGCTGTAGCTCAAAGTAGGAAGTGCATCTTACTGGGCTAAAATCAAGGTGACAGCAAGGCTGCCTTCCCTCTGAGGATTCCAGGCACGAATCTGCTTCTCACTTGTCCCAGCTTCTAAAGGCTCCCAGTTCCTTGGCTCCTGGTCCCCTTCCTCCTTCCTCAAAGCCCACAAAGACTGGTCACATCTCACATGGCATCACTCAGTGCCTTCTTCCTTACCACACCTCTTTCTCTGAGTGCTGCTCTCCCTTCTTCCTCATCTTTTGAAAACTTGGGGATTCTATTGGGTTCACCAAGATGAAAATCCCTCATAATCTCCTGGAAATCATCCAGGATACCCTTGTTTTAAGTTCAGCTGATTAGCAACCATAATTCCATCTGCAATCTTCATTCCTCCTTTCCATGTAAAATAACATATTCACAAGCTGTGGAGGCTAGGACAGGGACATTTTGGGGTGGGACAGCATTCTCCTGCCTTCCACAAACAGTGAACAAGATGCATTTGGCCTCTGCCCTTGGGACACTGATATTGCAGATGGTTAAATGGGAGGGCAGAAAATGAACGCACAAGTGGATCTATAAATGAATGGTCCATTGGGAAGCATCTGTGCATGAAATCTATTTTTTGTTTGTTCTTTTGTTTATTGAGACAGAGTCGCCCTCTGTCTTCCAGGCTACAGTGCAGTGTCACGATCTTGGCTCACTGCAACCTGCGTCTCCTGGATTCAAGGGATTCTCCTGCCTCCGCCTCTCGAGTAGCTGGGATTACAGGCAACTGCCACCGTGCCCGGCTAATTCTTTTTGTATATTTTTTGTAGAGAGGATGTTTCACCACGTTGGCCAAGCTTGTCTGAAACTCCCAACCTCAAGTGATCCGACCGTCTCAGCATGCCAAAGTAATGGGACTACAGGCGTGAGCCACTGTGCCCAGCCAGAATTCAAAATCAATAATAGATAATGCTGAGTGTATGATTTCAGGTGACAAAGAAGGTCTCACTATTCAGATATTTGTGACATTAATGAAAAACACGGAATGAACCCCTGAAAGATTGGCGGAAGGATTTTGCACACACAGCTGTCAGCCATGAAGGCACAAAGGTGAAAACAATCTGATGTGGAAGGAAGAGGCTCTGACTCAAATGCTGGGAATGAGGTGGGGAGAATGACAAGACGACTGTAGAGAGACGGAGAGCACACTGGGTACACAGGAAACTAAGGAGGAACAAGGAGTGTGTGCTTGACACTCACAGCCATTGGATTCACCTCGGGGTAACCAGGAATCCCTACATGATTAATATGACTGACATGAAAATAAGGGAGGCCCAGGTGCATAACTGGAATCTAGGAGACCGTGGAAAAGGCAATTGCCGCCCCACTGGTGAAATGTGGTGCTGATTTAGACACTAAATGAATGAAGTAGATGGATATAAGATATGTTTGTGAGGTAGAATCATTGACTGGAAAGGCTTACTGGGTTTGATTTTCCTACTTGTTTAATCCTCACTTAATTAATTTCTTTCTGAGATTTATTCATCCTACACATAAATCAATACCTGGCAAAGGAGTGACAGATATATGAGTGGTGGTGGAAATGAAGAGACTTATTATAGCATAATATACAAGTCTGTGAACAGTGGCTCACACCTGTAACCTAGCACTGCAGGAGGCCAAGGTGGGTGGATTCCATGAAGTCAGGAGTTCCAGACCAGCCTGGCCAACGTGGTGAAACCCTATCTCTACTAAAAATACAAAAATTAGCCGAGCACGATGGTGCATCCCTGTAATCCCAGCTCCTATTCTGGAGGATGAAGCAGGAGAATGACTTCAACCCAGTAGGTGGAGGTTGCAGTGAGTGGAGATTGCATCACTGCACTCCAGCCTGGGGGACACAAGGAGACTCTATCTCAAAAAATAAAAATAAGAAATACATAAATATAATAAAACACACACGAATGACAAAGGCACCTGAATTCCAATCATGATTTTTCTATTTCTCTATAATTACTTCTTTGATCCTTTATCTTATCCATTAGGCAATGAGCCTAAAACCTCTTCCCTATTTGGCTTTCTGTGAGCATGAGATCATATAGAAAATGTGAAAGCCCGCTGAATCCTCCAGCACAGATCCTGGAATAGAGAAAGTGCTCTGGTCATCACAAAAAAAACTTGCCCACTCACCCAAATCCCCCACCTCACCCCTACTTCCAATCACCTGTGGAGATTCAGATAGACCATGGGGAGGTAAACATTAACACTCCTTGGAGTGAGTCCAGATCTTGGAATCAGAGATCAGCGACAGCACTAGCTCCTGCTCCCCTTTCCTACTAATTCACAGGAGGACAGGTGGTTTTGAAGCAATAGATGGCCGAGGGGGTGGTCCTTCCCCCAGCCTCTCGGGTAGAACAGCAGCCTAATATGTGTCTCCCGAGATCACAAAGAGCAGCAGGTTTCACACGGGCTTCAACACTATTTCCTGGCCGTTTGACATAAGAGAATTCTATTTCGCTTTTTTTATCTTGATTTCACTTTTGTTTTCTTTCCTTGGAGAATGCAAGTTGTTTGATTCAAGAATGCTGTGGATGTAGAAACCCTAAAGCACATTCGCTGTGAATCAATCCCAGTCCAGTCTTCCCAGAGAAGACTCTAAACACCTCCTGGACTGCACCTGGGCCTATGCCAATTCCTATCACTCACCGTCACTCCAGGGAGACAGAACACACAGAGAATACGTTACATAGGCAGGTTCATTACTAACAGATAAGCAGCGAGTGACAACAGAAACCTATATTTCAATGTGACCCAGTCCCTCAAGGCTCAGAAAAGCTGCTCGGGACATATGGAGTCACCCCATTTGCAGTGTAGCTGGGGGAAGCCAGAAAGCAGCCCAGCCTGGGTTTTGTACCCTGGAGCCACAGGAAGCACTCAGCTAAAGCACTGCATGACGTCCTCCAGGAAGAACAGGAAGACAGCCCAGGGTGTTCTGAGACGTTCCTCCTGATCTCAGGAAGTTGCTGTCTTAGGCCATTTTTGTTGCTCTAAAGGAACACTTGAGCCTCGGTAACTTCTAAAGAAAAGAGATTGGTTTGCCTCACCGTTCTGCAGGCTGTACTGGAAGCATGGCACCAGCATCTATTTCTCGTGACGGCCTCAGGCTGCTCCCACTCTGGCAGAAGGGAAGGAGGGTCTGTCTGTGCAGAGACCACAGAGATCACACGGCAAGAGAGGGAGCAAGGGGGAGGGGGAGTGATGGAGCTTCCAAGCTCTTTTTAACAACCAGCTCTCCGGGAACTAATAGAGGGGGAACTTGCTAACCCCGTCTCCTTGGGACAGCATTGATGTGTTCATGATGGATCCACCTCCATGACCCAAACACCTCTCAAGAGGCCCAACCTCCCACAGTGGGGGTGAAATTTCAATGTGAGGTTTGAAGGGGTCAAACATCTCAACTAAAGTAGTCGTATCCTCAGCACGTTCTATGGTTACTATGAGAGCTATAACTGAAAAAGCAGGAGAAAGCTGGGTCTCCTGCCATCTGGGTGCTTGTCCTAAAGAGGTGTTTTATGTGGTTACCTGTCAATCAAGAAATGCGAGACAATTCATAAAGAGGAACTGCTAAGATTAGCTTCTTATTGGTGTCTCATCTTCTTCCAGGTAACCCCCGACACCTGCACATTCTGATTGGGACCTCAGTGGTCATCATCCTCTTCATCCTCCTCTTCTTTCTCCTTCATCGCTGGTGCTCCAACAAAAAAAGTAAGTCTCACGAAGCAGAGGCCAGAGAGCTCAGGGCCATGTGGGGAAGCAGGATGGGAGCACTCAGGTGTGTGTTCCTCACAAACAGGATGGTCCCTGGCCCAAGGCAGCAGCCACAGAGGCAGGACTTTCTAGAGAGGGCACCAGACTCCCTGTCCCTGCCTTCAACTCACAGACCGTTGCCTGATTCTGAACTGTATCCTCATGTCCCCTGCAGCCACTCACATCCAGGAGAAGGTTCCATGACAGGCAGAAAGTGGGAGACAGAATCAATGGGATGGGAACTCAGAGCTATTCATGGGATGGGTCCTTGAGCTCAGAGAGATAGAATGTCTGAGTCTGCTGTTGGCAACTGAGGGACCTCAGCCACCTATGGTCTCCCCCTGTATGTTGGTATCTGCTTATGAAATGAGGACCCAGAAGTGCCCTCCGAGCTGTTTTGTTGACTTCCGTCTTCTACAGATGCTGCGGTAATGGACCAAGAGTCTGCAGGAAACAGAACAGCGAATAGCGAGGTAGGTACTCCTCGGCCCGGGCTCGTGGCTACTGTTATTCCCAAAGAGTCCTGGAAAATGTGAGCACCCTCCCTCACTCAGCATTTCCCTCTCTCCAGGACTCTGATGAACAAGACCCTCAGGAGGTGACATACACACAGTTGAATCACTGCGTTTTCACACAGAGAAAAATCACTCGCCCTTCTCAGAGGCCCAAGACACCCCCAACAGATATCATCGTGTACACGGAACTTCCAAATGCTGAGTCCAGATCCAAAGTTGTCTCCTGCCCATGAGCACCACAGTCAGGCCTTGAGGGCGTCTTCTAGGGAGACAACAGCCCTGTCTCAAAACCGGGTTGCCAGCTCCCATGTACCAGCAGCTGGAATCTGAAGGCATGAGTCTGCATCTTAGGGCATCGATCTTCCTCACACCACAAATCTGAATGTGCCTCTCACTTGCTTACAAATGTCTAAGGTCCCCACTGCCTGCTGGAGAAAAAACACACTCCTTTGCTTAGCCCACAGTTCTCCATTTCACTTGACCCCTGCCCACCTCTCCAACCTAACTGGCTTACTTCCTAGTCTACTTGAGGCTGCAATCACACTGAGGAACTCACAATTCCAAACATACAAGAGGCTCCCTCTTAACGCAGCACTTAGACACGTGTTGTTCCACCTTCCCTCATGCTGTTCCACCTCCCCTCAGACTAGCTTTCAGTCTTCTGTCAGCAGTAAAACTTATATATTTTTTAAAATAACTTCAATGTAGTTTTCCATCCTTCAAATAAACATGTCTGCCCCCATGGTTTCGGTAATGGGACTCTTTTCTTGCCTAAGGCTTCCGGTGTTATCAGTACCATGTCCATATAATCCCATCTGTTCCCCACTGAGTTCTCATCCCCGGACTCTGAGTTTCTGGAAGCAGGGTGGAGCCTCATTTGTCTCTGGGACTCCAATTTCCATCCAAAGATGTAGCACATAGGAGGTTCCAAGGATCACGAATCATATGAACAAGTGATACTCTTACTCTCTGCAGACCTGGAAAGCTGGCAGAGTCATTCCACAATGAAACATTTGTAGAATCATAGGCCTTGTTAGTCTCATCTCCATGGGGACACATATCAACACATCATCTTTCATAATATAAATATACGGTCACTCCTCCATATCTGCGGGGTTTACAGGTGTTTATTGAACCAAGTATAAATCAAAAATATTGAGAGAAAGTATCCACAGAGTTTCAAAAAGCATAACTATGTTGAATGGACACAAATGAAGCTGTGTGTAGGCTGTATCAGGAATTATAAGTAATCTAGAGATGATTTCATGTATACAGGAGGATGTGCATAGGTTATTTGCAAACGCTGTGCCATTTCATATAAGAGGCTTGAGCATCTACAGATTTTGGTATCTGAGTGGAGATCTCAAAACCAATCACCCACGAATAGTGAAGGATGACCGTATATGACTTTTATTTCTCAAATTTAAATATAAATCATAAAAAATGTACAACTAGATAAAAACTAAGAAGTGTTTTTATAGTGTGAGTTAGATTTATTTTTTCCTAGGTGTAACCAATTGGTTTAATATTATTTATTGAGAAGACATTCTATGCCACCTTAAACCACACGGCAGCCTTTGTCAACTCTAAAGGGACTGTGTGTACATGGATGTATTTTAGACACTGTTTCTGCTAAGGGGCTCTCTGTGTCCACACTCTTGATGATGCTGCACTTTATGTAGCCTTATAGAACCCTTTAAATTTAGTAGCCAGAGCCCTCTAATTTGTTATTATAGGCTGTTTGCTTTTTTTTTCTTGAGGCGGAGTCTTGCTCTGTCGCCCAGGCTGGACTGCAGTGGCACAATCTCAGCTCACTGCAACCTCCGCCTCCCAGGTTCAAGCGATTCTCGTGCCTCAGCCTCTTGAGTAGCTGGCGTTACAGGTGCCTGCCACCAGGCACGGCTAATTTTTGGATTTTTAACAGAGACACGGTTTCACTATATTGGCCAGGCTGCTCTCAAACTCCTTATCTCAGTTGATCCGCCCACCTCGGCTTCCCAACGTGCTGGGGAAAACTTGATTTTCTATAGCATTATGTTACTGGATATTTCTGTAAAATTTAAAACGAGGGAGGGAGAGAGACAGACAGAGAGCAAACTCCAGAGTTGGGACTCTGGAATCTTGGGTCATGAGACAAATTTTAGATTAAACTACAAAACTCCAGAATTTACAGGTGTGGTTTTTGCTGATAAAGTACAATTCTAAGATTGTAAATAATTGCATAATCCTTCCCTGGGAATTTAAATCATTTTAGCTGGTTCTGCTGTAATACTAGAAATACAAGCATGAAAAATTCTAATGGTTTATTAGTCACAATGACTCCGAAAACATTAATAATACCTATTAGATACTTTGCATATTACACAGGAAGAAGAGTTTGAATCTCAGATAAAAACAAAAAAAATACATGAAAAGTCTTTCATGTTAGCACAGATTTTAGGCATCTCGTGTTCGGATAAAAATACATGAAAAGTCTTTCACGTTAGCACAGATTTTAGGCATCTTGTGTTCGGGAGGTTGGATCTGAGACGTGTTGTGAGTTGGTCATAGTGAAGGACGTGAGGTGCCAATTCTAGTGAGAACAATTTCCAGGAAGCCGTGTTCCGCTCTTGAGCAAGCATCCACTGGGCCTCATGCAAGGTAGAAAGAGCCTGCGTACGTCACCCTCCCATGATGTAGTCAACATGTAAGCTGCATGGGCAGGGCGCCAAATAACATCCTGTGCGCTGCTGAGCTGAGCTGGGGCGCGGCCGCCTGTCTGCACCGGCAGCACCATGTCGCTCATGGTCGTCAGCATGGCGTGTGTTGGTGAGTCCTGGAAAGGAATAGAGGGAGGGAGTGCCACATCCTCCTCTCTAAGGTGGCGCCTCCTTCTCCCCCAGGTGGTCAGGACAAGCCCTTCCTCTCTGCCTGGCCCAGCCCTGTGGTGTCTGAAGGAGAACATGTGGCTCTTCAGTGTCGCTCTCGTCTTGGGTTTAACGAATTCAGTCTGTCCAAAGAAGACGGGATGCCTGTCCCTGAGCTCTACAACAGAGTATTCCGAAACACCGTTTTCATAGGCCCTGTGACCCCAGCACATGCAGGGACCTACAGATGTCGGGGTTCACACCCACACTTCCTCACTGGGTGGTCAGCACCCAGCAACCCCCTGGTGATCATGGTCACAGGTCAGAGGGCTCCTGTCTGGGATTCTCCTTGTCCCACCTCCTGAGTCCCAGAGCTTCTGGTGGGAGTGTCCACCAGCGTCCCATCATCCAGACCCTAACTGTATTTGGGGTAAAAGGGGATTGAATACAGGGAAATGGGTGCTGTGGTGGAAAGAATAATTGTCCCCAATGATGACTGCATTCTAATCCCTGCAGTCTGTGACTATTTATGTTATAGGGGAAGGCACTGAAGGGGAAGATGGAGCTCAGGTTGTTGAGTTGACCTTGAGATGGGGAGACAGCCTGGACTGTCCTGCTGGGCTCAGTGTAATCACAAGGGTGCACATGAGAGGAGAAGGAAGAGGGGAGTGGCGATTAGAGCAGTGCAATGGAAGTCTCCATCAGCTTTGAAGGTGGAGGAAGGCCATGAGCCATGAATGCAGGTGGCCTATAGAGGCTGGAAAAGTCAAGGAACTGATTCTCCTGGGTCTCCAGAGGGAACGCAGCCCTGCAGATGCCTTGATTTTAGCCCTCAAAAAACAGGGTCCGATTTCTGTCTCCAGAAACGGAAGGGGTCAGTGTGCTCTCTCCTGCTGCCATGCTTCTGATAATTTTCCACAGCACCAACAGGAAACCAACACTGGAACCCAGGTCAAGGACAAGATAAGAAAGGACACAAGGATAGCCGGGCGTGGTGGCAGGTGCATGTAATCCTAGCAACTCAGGAGGCTGAGGGCAGGAGAATCACTTGAACCCAGGAGACAGAGGTTGCAGTGAGCCTAGACCACACCACTTCACTCCAGCCTGGGTGAAGGAGTGAGACTCTGACTCCAAAATTAATTAATTAATTAAAGAAACCAAACAAAGAGAAGGTTGGCTACACCGAGATCAGCAAGGGTGGGATGATGATGCCACCACCAGGCTCCATCCACATAGGGAGGGGTTGATACTCCTCAAACCAGCACCAGAAGCCAGCCTATGGAAGCTGGCACCATGGAGAAGGCACAGGCATGGCAAGAGTGGCTCCCAGTCCCCACCAGGAACAGGGTGTGTGGACACTGGTGCCTGCCTTACTGATCAGTTCATACCTTCTGCCAAGGATTCCAAATCGTCCAAAAGAGATTGAACCAGTCTGCTAAGAGCCTGGACGTGCAGCCTATCCTGGTTCCTCTTCCACCCCCACATAGAAGCAGGAAAGACATTAGTTCGAAATAGATACAACAGCCCAAGAGATGAGGCTGAGCCCAGCGGCAAGGGAATCAGGAGCTACTAGAGACAGAGGGACAGAGAAGAGGGAGGGAGACAGATGGAAGGACCTGTACCAGGAGTTATGGGCACAGAAAAGAACATGAAGACACAGAGAGGAAGGAGAGAGATAAGACACCAGCGAGGGGAAGCCTCACTCATTCTAGGTGCCATGGATGGGATGATAAAGAGAGATGCCTTCTAAAGTCACAACCTCTCTTCCTAGGAGTCCACAGAAAACCTTCCCTCCTGGCCCACCCAGGTCCCCTGGTGAAATCAGAAGAGACAGTCATCCTGCAATGTTGGTCAGATGTCATGTTTGAGCACTTCCTTCTGCACAGAGAGGGGACGTTTAATGACACTTTGCGCCTCACTGGAGAGCTCCATGATGGGGTCTCCAAGGCCAACTTCTCCATCGGTCGCATGACGCAAGACCTTGCAGGGACCTACAGATGCTACGGTTCTGTTCCTCATTCCCCCTATCAGTTGTCAGCTCCCAGTGACCCTCTGGACATCGTGATTACAGGTGAGAGTGTCTGGACATTATTCTCATTGTCACTGGGACACAGAGTGAATGATCCACGACTTGGAGGCCCAGGTGGTTATAAGGAAGATGAGCTTGGTATTCTTATGGAGAGAGACTAACTTGGTGAGGTCTGTACCAACAGAGACAGAGAAACAGGAGACACAAGTACAGACCAGGTGTCATAACAGAGGACAGACACAGGGGCCATACAGGGAGTTAGAAAAGACAGAAAGAGTTAAAGGAGACACAGACAGACATGTGCCAGAGAGAGGTGTCCTTCCATGCTGACTTTGCTCAGAGACCTGGCACAGGTTAGAAGTTTCATTTCTGTTTTACTTCCACAAAGTGTTCTCTACCAGAAGAACCCAAGGACACCCATATTTCTGGCCTGAGTTGGGCCCTGTGGCCTCAGGCCTTCTGGCACCTACAGATGCCGTGTTTATTCTGACACCTCTGCCTTCCATGCAATGGAGAGTAATCGTCCCAGGATATCATGGCCCCAGAACATCAACCCCTGTATACTGTGTGAACTTGCGGTCCCCAGACTGGATTCTGAGGCTCACATTCCAAATAACCCCACATATGAGAGGATCACTGAGAGACACAGAGAGAAATCAGGGACACCAAAAAGCAAAGACATAAACACACAGAGAATGAGCCAGAGGAAGGAGATTGAGAGACTCACAGACACATAAAGAGGGAGAAAAGAGGGCAGAGAAGTGGAGAGAACAATGGAAGGGAACAGAGAAAAGCACTAAAATTAGAGTCCTGAGGGAGAGACACAAGGACATAGAAAGATGGAGATGTGGGGATGAATTGCAGAGATTCCAAAGAGAACTAGAGAGACCGAGAGGCAGAGCAAGACAGATGATAGATGGATAGATATAGATAGATGATAAATAGGTAGATGATAGATAATAGGTTAAAGATACATAGATGATGATTGATTCATTCATTGATTAATCGATGATACATAGAGATGATGAAGATGAAGATAGATAGATAATACATAGAGATAGAGAGGCAGACAAAGAGAAATCATAGAGAGAGAGAGACGATACATAGATATAGATAATAGATGATTTTTGGATAGACAATTGATAGATAAATAGATTATATATAGATATAGATGACAGGTAGAGAATTTGTAGATAGGCACCAAATAGATAAATAGATATATCGATAGATAATAGATAGAAATATGCAGAAAGTTATGAACAGGACACAAAGTGAGAAACTCAGAATTTAAAAAAAGTAACATCAAGTCAACTAGTCCAAGGAGAGTCAGAGAGAATAAAACAATCCAAAAAGGGAAAACATATCTAGAGGTGAGAAAGTGAGGTCAGAGACCTAGAGAGACAGAGAAGGTGGAAAGAGGAAATAGACATAAAGAGAGATGGTGTGGAGGGTGAGACAGAGAGAGAGAGCATTAGGCCATAGAGCAGGGGAGTGAGTTCTCAGCTCAGGTGGGAGGGGAGTTGTGACAAGGAAGAACCTCCCTGAGGAAACTGCCTCTTCTCCTTCCAGGTCTATGTGGGAAACCTTCTCTCTCAGCCCAGCCGCGCCCCATGGTTAAGGCAGGAGAGAGCGTGACCTTGTCCTGCAGCTCCCGGAGCTCCTATGACATCTACCATCTATCAAGGGAGGGGGAGGCTCATGAACTTAGGTTCCCTGCAGTGCCCAAGGTCAATGGAACCTTCCAGGCCAACTTTCCTCTGGGCCCTGCCACCCACGGAGGGACCTACAGATGCTTCGGCTCTTTCCGTGACTCTCCCTACGAGTGGTCAGACCTTAGTGACCCACTGCTTGTTTCTGTCACAGGTGAGGAAACCAGTCTGTTCCCCAAATAGTGGGACTCAGATGGACTACAATGGCCACATTCAGGGGAGCCTCAGATGGAGGGGGTGGCCATGGGGGTGTCAGCCAGAGATGCTGGACAGAAGAGACACAAAGCAAACATACAGAAAGAGGCATAGACAGACAGACAGAGCGAGGCAGACAGATCACATTAGGGTTTGGGGTGGTAACTGCAACCCTACCTGAAGCTTGCAGATAGAGCACAGGCCACATAAACCACTTCCCAGTCTTTGTACAGAAGCCCACCTGGGACACATGTAAACAGCATCAATGCTGACTCAGGAGCATGAAAGGCCGGGCTCAGATTGGAAAGACTAGAGGTAGCATTGGCCGCCCGCCATTGCCCATTTCCAGAAGCCCCCACCTCTCACCAAAGAGTGATTTCCACATGGGGGGCACAGATGCAACCATCGTTGGGGGAGCCCCAATGTCTCTTGATGGGAGGCATTTTCCACCCTAGATGTTTTTTGCTCTCTCCACACCTTGGAGACTCAGTGGGGGAGTCTTCTCTGGGGACTCGGGGAGGGCCTCCCTGGGACTCGCAGGATTTCCAAGCTAGATGACAACATGACAGGTGGAAACAGGCCCATTCCTTCGCCAGGGGCCCCAAGCTCCATCCCAGGAGATGAGAAGAGGCTCTTCTCATTGGTCAGTGGATCCCTGAGGGGACAGAGGCTCAGCACTGAAGGCTGAGAAGGATCTGCCACTTCGCTCAGTGGCCTCAAGCCAGACATCTTCCCTACAGACTTGCAGTGATTCTCCATCAGCATTTAGGGCTGTGGCCACCAACCTGGGTGTTGGTCTGTAGGAACTTTTCATTTCTGACCTTCCATAACTGAGTTCTCTTCCTAAATGTGGAATGCCTTGTACTCCATGTTACTCTCTCCCCAGAAAGAATGTGTGGCTTGTCTGCTCTCCAGCCCTGTCATGGAGATTGATAATCCTTAGGGAGCAAGAGGAGAGGGAAAGAACAAAGTATGAGACCACCTAGGTGCTACTGGTTGAGGTTCCATTTGCCAGTGAAGGGACTTCACTCAGCCGAGGGGGCAACTCAGGGAAGTCAGCCGAGGGAGGGCATTAGAGTAGAGAGAACTGAGCTCACCCAGTAAATGACCCCTTCACTAACTCATTCATCTAATATTTATTTCACACCTACCATCAGTTCTCTCTGTTTCATGGCCAGGAGTAGACAGCACGGCCAAGCTCCTGGGTTCATGATGCTCACATTGCTGTGGGGTGGGAGAGAGAGGCAGAACATGAATGAATGAATGAGAGAATGAATGAATGAGTGAATGATGGAATGAGTGAATGAATGAATGAATGAATGTATGAATTAGTGAGTGAATCCTTAGCACTTGGTGAAAGTGCCATGCACAGAATGAAATGAATGAACGTGGAACGTTGTCATTTGGAGTGTACAGGAGGGAACGTCTCACTGAGACCTCATCAGAGAGATCACATTTAAACTCCGATCTTAGAGACAAGAGGGAGTGAGCCCTGGGGAGTGTGTTGAAAGGAACTTTCATGGACTTAGGACATTGGGGATGACCCTAATGTGAGAATGAGCTTGGTGTGTTCCAAGAAGTCCATGGACCTGCCATATGGTGAGGGCTGGTCAGAATCCAGAGAGATTTCTAAATGCCCTTGTGCTTGTAAGGAAAGTGAGTCCTGTGGTTGGGAGTGGACTTATACCTTGGGTCAGGTCCAGCAATTATCTTTCTAAATCCTCTCTAATTGCCTGAACCACTTCTATCAACAACTGAGAAAAGAGGAGTGTTAAACACCCCACTGTGGCCGTGGATTTGCCTACCTGTCCATTTATTTCCGCGACTCTTCCTCCATGTATATTTGCAGGAATATTACTGGGAGTGGTTAAGTGTAAACTGATTATATATTCCTGGTAAATTTAAAATGCTATAAATTTACCTGCTTTTTTCCTACATTTTATGCTTAATGTTTTCCGCTGATTTTTCCCAAAGACTAATTTTGTCTAATTTTAATATAGTTATACCACATTTCTAACAGTGATTGCTTGGTATATTTCTACATTGTTTAATTTCAAACTCCATGAATTGTTAACATTGAGATGTGTCCTTTGTAAATTTCAAACAATTCGCCTTAGAAAGTAAGACTTTCTGACAATCTTTTGTTCATGTTTGAGCAGTTCTTCCAATCATATTTTTGTTATTATTACGTTGTGTTTTCCTGATTCCCTTTTTTTCCCACTGACTTCTGTGGTTTTCTATTTCAAACATTCTATTTTTGATCTATGTCGTTTAGGAATACATATATGGTGTACTCATCCTGAAGTTGTTACATATTTTTAAAATTGAAATTAATCATTTCAGAGATTAAACTGCAAATATAAAAACATATTTCCACTCTTCCTGTGTAAGAACAGGATTTTAGAGCATATTTAGTACATATGTTTGTATTTACTTATATGATGTTTTGTTTTGTGGTATACATAATTCTATCTTTTTCAGAAATTACACAGGGGCGTGTTTTCATACACTATCGTATGGTCCATATTCATTTTTGGCATAGCCATATTTTTAGTTCTTCCTCTGCTCTTAGTTATTGTCAGAATCTTCGACACCCCATCTGGTTTCACTTTCTTTATCTTTGAGGCACGGTCATCAGAATTTCCTTTAGGGTCAGTGAGAAAAGCTTTCTTTGCCCTTTTGTCTTTCAGTTCTGTTTCTTTCCTGCGTTGATCTTGGACAGTAACTGTACTATGTAAGGAATTGTCGGTGGCTGGCGACGGTATCTTAGCTGGGTAAAGATGCTATTCTACTGGCTTATGTTTTCCTTTTTTCTGTGGGGAAGACAATGCTTGGCTCCCTATAAATCCTTACCAGCTGATCCTTTTCCTCTGGCTAATTTTAAGGGTTGGTTGTGCTTTTATGCTGCTTTTCTGTAATGTTGAACGTGAGGTGTGTTTACTTCATTCTGCCTGGCATTCACTGGATTTCTTGAACCTGTGGATTGATGGATGTGTCTACTTCCTCCAAATAATCAACAATTGCCTCTTTAAAGATTGCTTCTGACCTGTTTTCTCGTTCTTTCTTTTTGGAACTCAAGTTAGGAGCATTCTAAAACTGTTGTCAATTTTTACCCTGTCACAAAACTGCTCTTTCTTGTTTCAGTTATTTGCTTTTTCTGTGCATTAATATTGATGGTTTCCTCTGTCATAGAGGATAAATACTCTCTTCACTGTTGTGTACACAACATTTTAACTAGTTATTCTGGTTTAAATTTAATATTGACTTTATCTACATATCACAATTGATTACTGTGTACAGACTTTCTTTTCTATTAGTATAAATTTATGAGGTACACTTGTAATTTTGTGACATGAGTATGTTGCAGAGTAGTGAAGTCAGGACTTTTACTATATCCATCACCCAAATACCGTACATTGTACTCATTAAGCAAATTCTCATCACTCACCCACGTCCCGCCACCCTCCAGCCTTCTAGCCTCCGCTGTCCGTCATTCCACACTCTACGTCCATATGTACACATTACTCCCCTCCCATGTAGAGTGAGAAGATGTGGTATTTGTCTTTCTGAGTGGTTTTATGTAAAATAATGGCGTCCAGCTCCATCTATGTTGCTGCAAAAGACATGGTTTTATTTTTATGACCAAATAGTATTTCGTTGTGTATACACGCATCCTTTTTTTAATCCAATCATTCATTCACAGACACTTAGATTGATTTCATATCTTTGCTATTGCAAACAGTGCTGCAATAAACATACAGGTGCAGGTATTTTTTGAGTAGATACCCAGCAGCGGGACCCCTAGATCGAATGGTGCTTCTATTTTTGGTTCTCTGCCAAATTTCCATACTGTCTTCCATAGAGGCTATACTAATTTACATACCGGCCAACAGTGTATAAGAGTTTCCTTTTCTCTGCATCCTTGCCAACACCTGTTATATGTTTCACTTTTTCTTTTTTTCTTTTTGAGATGGAGTCTTCCACTGTCACCCAGGCTGGAGTGCAGTGCCGCCATCTCCACGCGCTGCAACCTCCACCAACCAGGTTCAAATGATTCTCCTGCCTCAGCCTCCTGAGTAGCTGGGATTACAGAACCACACCACCATGCCCAGCTAATCTTTTGTATATTTAGTAGAGATGGGGTTTCACTATGTTGGTCAGGCTGGTCTCAAACTCCTGACCTCATGATCCACCCGCCTCAGCTTCCCAAAGTGCTGGGATTACAAGCGTGAGCCACCACTCCCCACCAGCATTTTTAGTAATAGCCATTCTGACTACTGTAAGATGATATCTCATTGTGGTTTCAATTTGCATTTCTCTGATGATTAGTGATGTTCATACGCTGTTTGGCCATTCGTATGTCTTCTTTTGAAAAATGTCTATGTATATCCCTTTGCCCACTTTTTAATGCTATTATTTGAGGGGTTATGTTTAGTTGTTTGAGTTGCCTAGAAATTCTGGATGTTAGTCCTCTGTTGGGTGCATAGTTTGCAAACATTTCCATTCATTCTGTGGGTTGTCTGTTCACCCTGCTACTATTTCCTTTGCTTGGCAGAAGCTCTTTCGTTTATTAAGTCCCATTGGTCTAGTTTTATTTTTATTGCCTGTGCTTTTGAGGTCTTAGTGATGAATTCTTTGCCCAGACCAATGCCCAGAAGAGTTTCTCTTTGGGTTTCCACCGGTGATTTTATAGTTCTGGATTTACATTTAAGCTGCTAATTACCTTAAGTTAATTTATGTGTATGATTACAGATACAGGTCCAGTTTTATTCTTCTGCATATGGCTATTTAGTTTTCCCAGCACCTTTTATTGAAAAGGAAATCTTTCTCCAGTGTATGTTTTGTTAACGTCGTCAATGATTATTCACTGTAGATATGAGGCTGTATTTCTGGGCTCTCTATTCTGGTCTATTGATCTCTGTTTCTGTGTCTATACCAGCACTGTGCTATTTAAGTTACTATAGCCTTAGAGCATAGTTTGAAGTCAGATAGCGTGATGCCTCCAGGTTTCTACATTCACCTAGAATTGCTTTCTCTATTAGGATCTTTTTTGGTTCTGTATGAATTTTAGGATTGCTTTTTCTAATTCTGTGAAAGCTGGTGTTACTATTTTCATATAAGAATTGCACTGAATCTGTAGATTGCTTTAGGCAGTATGGTCATTTTAACAATATTAATTCTTATGATCCATGAGCGTGGGATTTTTTTTCTTTTTTTTTTTTTGTATTATCTATAATTGCTTTCATTGGTGTCTTACACCTTTCCTGGTACAGCTCTTTCACCACCTTGGTTAAATGTATTCCTGAGTGTTTTAATTTTGCGTATCTATTGTAAACGGCATTGCCTTCTTGATTTGGTTCTCAGCTAGATCATTATAGGTGTAGAGAAATGCTACTGGCTTTTACATATTGATTTTGTATTCTGAAACTTTACTTAGTTCATTTATCAATCATAAGAATTTTTGGCAGGGTCTTTAGGATTTTCTAGATTTAAGATCATAGCATCAGAAATAAAAATAATTTTACTTCCTCTTTTCTAATTTGGATTTTTAATTCTTCCTGTTGCCCAATAGCTCTGACAAGGCTTCCAGTACTATGTTGATAGGAAGTGGTGGATGTCCGTGTCCTTGTCTTGTGCCAGTTCTCAGAGGAGTGCTTTTAACTTTTCCTGTTCAGTATGATGTTGACTCTAGATATGTCATCTATGGCTTTTATTATTTTGAGGTATGTTCTTTCTATGCCTAAGTTTTTGAGGGTTTTCATCAGGTAAGGATGTTGAATTTCTTTTCAGATGCTTTTCTTTATGTCTATTGAGATGATCATATGGTTTTTGTTCTGGATTCTGCTCGTTCTTCTAAGTGGATGAGACATGCCAGAAAAGCATTTAGTCAGCCATCTTGGAAACAAGCATCTCAGATGTTTTCTTTCTCTATAGCTCATTCTTTCTTACCAGTGTTTTCAATTTTGTACTTAATTTTGTAAAGAGAGTAAATGATATAATTTCCACATATGTTTCCTCTGCCAAATCAGACTCACTATGCTTCCTTTCCTTGTATGCATAACCTACCCAGCAATACACACAAACATTTATTGCTTTGGAGAATTAGTTTGGGAACATTTTTGAAATGTACAAAAAAATGTATATCTTCAAAAGAAATTTCTTTTTGTGGCAAAAGACTTCTGAAGGTGCTCATGATGATATAGGGAGAAGAGGGGTTCTGGACAGGAAGAATTTTATGAAGGTGAGATGGGGAAATAGCTCCATTTCAGAGCTTCTGGGGAGAGAGGGGCCTGGCCCACATGGAAAGGTCTCTGATCTTACCCCCACCCTCCAGCCCCTGTTCTCCAGAACTATACTGTGGAGAGTTCCATCAGGATTGTTGTGGCTGGTCTGGTCTTCCTGGCTCTTTTGGCAATGCTGGCTAAGACCTGGTGGAGACATGAGGGGCCACAGGTGGAAATGGAAGAAACATGACTGAAGCTGGCTGGAGTGAATGGCGCGACATTCTGTCTGTGGGAGATTGGCCAGATGGGTTTCAAGTGTGTTGTATCAGCTGTGACTTTTAGTAATGTTCTTGCTACCACAATATCCACTCGTCCATCCCGAATAATTGTGATGAAATATTGTCCTTGGGATAATATTCATTTGCTAAAGACAGGGATGATACCTCAAGGTGCCACTATATACATCGAGGGGATCCACAAAAGTCCATTCAGTAAAATGTAGTTGGCATCTTAGGGTAGGTTGATTCCACCTCTAAAAAAGTAGGTACAACATCAGGTTGATTTTTCCGAAGAAAAGTGGTGATTGGCCATCTTTAGTCTCAATGTAAACGGTAATACTGATGAGTGTGGAAAAGGCAGGGAAGAGGATTGACAATAAGTGACACTCATTGTTTTCATCTGAGCTTTGAGACTGAAAGAGGAACACAGGAGTGAGATGTATGGGAACAAACCCCTTCTTTTTCCAGCTAAACAGAGTGGAAGTTGGACACTGAGTTTTGGCGTACAGCAAAATCCTAAGTCCATTGTTGGGTTGAACACGGCCATGTTGTACATCCTGGTTTCACAGCAGACACTGGAGGAAAACAGCCTGTATTCATAAGAGGCTGTCCCTCGGGTCACTGCCCAGAATATCCGGAGTTGGTGCTCACAGGGTTGGGAACTCTCCTGGACCAGACAGGCTCTGGATATGGGGGGGTACCAAGCTCCCCGGGGCCATGCCTCCACAGCTCTCTTCTCACCTCATTCTTGACCATTTCCCAAACCTCTGACCTCACCTTCATTCATCCATGGTGAACACGCTAAAGCTGGCCTTCAAAGCTTGAGACAGAGGAAAATTGGGCTTCATCTCTGGGAACTAAATTGGGGAGTGGAGACTCAGTTCTGGCCTGACAGGAGGGAGAAGACCCTGGATCCCAGTGTGGATGGGAAGAAGTATGTGTTTCTCTTTTGTGCTTGGACCCTGTGTCCAAGCATGTCTGAGATGTGATGAAGATGAATCTTCCTTTCCTTGTCTATTTTCTCATGCCAGAGAATTGGAATCTTATATTCCATTAACTCTTTCTGTTCTGTTCATCCAGATTCTATGAAGGAGAAAGGAAAAGATGTGATACTGTAATTTTGCTCCATTTGTCTAAAATGAGTAGGCTGCAACTCCTCTTGAAGTGATACCTTTTCTAGCTCTTGTTGGAGGTGTCTCAGGACTCATTACTTCGGGGAACCTGCAACTGTGTCAGTCTGGGGAAACTGCAAATATTCTTGTCTTACATTTGTCTCCAGCCAATTGTGATGGACTCCAGTGACCTGCAATTGCTGTTATTGCAGGTAAAATGTACCTGAGTCAGGCCACAGTTCTCCTGGACTATGAGCCCCTGGCCATGTTCCTGAGGCAATTCTGTTCATCTAAATATAATAATAATAACACACTAAAAATGGCAAGCCATTGTTAATTCCTGAAGTCTCATTTGAAAATTACTAAATGTCTGTTATTTTTTGGTGTTTACATTATATGTAGACAGATAAACTACACACACACACACACACACATGCACACAGAAGAATGGATTGGTTCATGTAGAAAAGTAAATAATTCAAGATGAAAGGATGAAATGTCATGGCACCTACTATTCTATTTTAGATAAAGGGTCTATGAAAAGATTGATTTCTTTTTATGTTTTATTTGTTGACATTTGAACACAAACTATGTAAGTGAGGGAGTCGATTTGAAAGGGAGAAGAGCAAGTTCAAACACATTCAGGTGAGGTCATGCTTTACATGTTTTAATTGAAATGATCCATCTTGGGAGTAGATCAATAACTGAGATGGTGCCAGGAATGTTAAAAAGCTTTTGTCAGTCCTAAATATTGACAAATAAAATTTAATTAAAGTCTTAGAAGAAAACACAAAGGAAAACTTCACAACATCGGATTTGGCAGTGATTCTTTAGATGTGACAACAACGGCACAGGCTACTACAGAAAAAATAAACAAGTTAGACTTTATGAAAATTTTGAAATATTGTGACTCAAAAGACAACATCAGTTACTTCACATGGCAAGGAAAAAGAACTTTTAAGACGATATTATCAAAGTAAAAAGACAACCCACAGAATGGGAGAAAATGTTTTCAAACCACACCACCTGTAAGGGATTAACATCCAGAATATACAGACAACTCCTAAAACTCAATCACAATAAACTCAATTCAAAAATGGGCAAAGTACTGAAACAGACATTTCTCCAAAGAACATACGCATGACAAGATATTCAGCATCACGAATCATTAGGGAAATACTAACTAAAACTACACCAGATGCCATTTCATACCCCTTAGGATGGGTATCATCAAAACAACAACAACAACAACAACAACAAAGTTTCTATACATTAACAACAAACTATCCAAAAAAGTTTACAAGAAAATAAGCCCATTTGCAATAACTACAGAAAACAAAACATGCAGGAATAAATTCACCCAAGGAGTAGAAAGATCTGTATGCAAAAGCTATAAAACATTGATGAAAAAACTCAAGAAATAAACAAATAAATCGAAAGATATTCCATGTTCACGGATCAGAAGGATTAATGTTGTTAAAATGTCCATTCTATCCAAAGTGATTCAATGCAACCATTATCAAAAATCCAATGACATTTTTTTTTACAGAAATAGAAAAAACAGTCCTAAAATTCATGTGGAACCACAAAAGATCTCAAATAACCAAAGCCATCTAGAGGGAAAGGAACAAAGTTGGAAGCATCACATTACCTAAACACAAACTACATTACAAAGTTACAGTAATTAAAACAACACAGTACTTGCATAAAAACAGACACATAGACCAATGGAAGTGATTCATAGCCCAGGAAAAAAAATGCACGCATTTAGGGTCAAACAATTTTTGGGATGTATCAAGAACACACAATGGAGAAGGAACAGTCTCTTTAATAAATGGGATTGGGAGACATGCAGAAGAATGGAAGTGGACATTTGCCTCACAAAACATACAAAGTCAACTCAAGATAGATTAATGACTTAAATGTAAGGTGAAAGACTATCATCCCAGCAATTTGGGAGGCCAAGGCGGGCAGATCACCTAAGGTCAGGATTCCAAGACCAGCATGGCCAACATGGTGAAATCCCGCCTCTACTAAAAATACAAAAACAGCTGGGTGTGGTTGTGGGTGCCTGTAATCTCAGCTACTCGGGAGGTTGAGACAGGAGAATCACTTGAACCCAGGAGGTAGAGGTTGCAGTGAGCCGAGATCGCATCACTGCACTCCAGCCGGGGCAACAGAGTGAGACTCCATCTTAAAAAAAAAAAAAACTACTAAAAGAAATCAAGGGAAAACTCCACTGGCTTGGGCAAAACCATTTTGGATATTAACCCAAAGGCCCAGGCAACAAAAGCAAAAGTAGACAAATAACATTATATCAAATTGAAAGTTTCTGCAAAGAAAAAAAAAAACTCAACAAGTGGAAAGACAACCTATGGAATGGGAGAATATATTTGCACCCATACATCTAATAAGGAATTAATATCCAAAATATATAAGAAACTCAAACAACTCAATGGTAAGAAATCAAATAACCCAACTTAAAAAAATGGGCAAAGTATCTGAATAAACATTTCTAAGAATAAGACAAATCACCAAAAGGTATATGAAAAAATGATTAGCATTACTAAACATCAGCTAAATAAAAATTAAAACTAGAATGAGATATCACCTCACACCTCTTAGAATGACCATTAACAGTCTGGGCATGGTGGCTCATGCCTGTAATTCAGGCACTTTGGGAGGCCGAGGCAGGGAGATTACCTGAGGTCAGCAGTTCGAAACCAGCCTGGCCAATATGGTGAAATCCCATCCCTACTAAAAATACAAAAATTAGCAGAGTTTGGTGGCGCACACTTGTAGTCCCAGCTACTCTGGAGACTGAGGCAGGGGAATCGCTTGAACCCAGGAGGCAGAGGTTGCAGTACACCGAGATTGTGCCACTGCACTCCAGCCTGGGTGACAGAGCAAGACTGAGTCTCAAAAAAAAAAAAAAAAAGACCATTATCAAAAACATAAAAAATAACAAGCATTAACGAGGATGTGGAGAAAAGGGAACATTTGTATGCAGTTGATGGGAATGTAAATTAGCACAACCATTATGGAAAACAGTCTGGAAGTTCCTGAAAAAATTAAACATAGAATTCCCATATGTGTCTGCAATCCAACTACTGCGCATGTATCCAAAGGAAGTGGAATCAGTATGTTGAAGAGATATCTGCATTCCCATGTTTACAGCCGCATTATTCATAACAGCCAAGATGTGGAATCACCCTTACTGCCCATCTATGGGTGCATGGACAAAGAAAACGTGGTATACGATAGGAACGTAATGAAGTACTATACAACCTTTACAACAAAGAAGGAAGTCCTCTCATTTGTGACAATGTGAAAAAACTTAGAGGACATTATGTTAAGGGAAACAATCCAGGCACAGAAAGACAAATGCCACATGATCTCATGTGTGGAGTGTAAGAAGTGGAACCTAGAGGAACAGTAAAATGGTCGTCGAAAGAACCTGGGAAGGAGAGAGATTGAAGAGATGTTGGTCAAAGGATGCAAAATTTCAGTTAGAAGAAATCGGTTCAAGAGATCTATTGTATGTCTTGGTGACTCCATTTAATAGCAACATATGGTGTATTGAACATTACTAAGAGATTAGATTTTACATGTTCTCACCACACACACAAAACATACAAGTATGTGAAAAAATAAATAGATAAAGAGGTTGTTTCATCCATTCCACAATGTGTACCTATATGAAAACATCATGATGGACACCACAAATACCCTTTTCCTCATTAATTAAATTTGTTTTGGCTTTTTTTTTGAGACGCAGTTTCACTGTTGTTGCCCAAGCTGAGGTGCAATGGCGTGATCTCCGCTCACTGCAACCTCTGCCTCCCAGGTTCAAGCGGTTCTCCTGACTCAGCCTCCCAAGCAGCTGGGACTACAGTTGCGTACCACCCCGTCCGGCTATATTTGTGTTTCTAGTAGAGACAGGGTTTCGCCATGTTGGCCAGGCTGGTCTCGAACTCCAGACCTCAGGTGATCCACCCGCTTCGCCCTCCCAAAGTGCTAGATTTCAGGCTGAGACACCACACCCAGCCTGTACATTGACTTTCTGCCCTTAAACTGTGCTGAAGTTTGTTTCTCAGATGTAGGAGCCTTTGGGCAGAGACTATGGGGTTTCTAGGTATAGAAATTATCTCATCTTCAAACAGAGGTAATTTGACTACCTCTCTCTGCTACTCTCTTCTTACTTGGATGCCTTATAATTCTTTCTCTTTCCTGATGGCTCTGTCTAGGACTTCAAGTACTATGTTGAATAGGATGGTGAGAGTGGGCATTCTTGTCTTGTTTCACTTATGAAGGGAACTTCTTCCAGCTTTTACTCATTCAGTATGATGTTGGTTGTGGGTTTGTCATAGGCGGCTCTTATTATATTGAGTTATGTTTCTTCAATGCTTAGCTTGTTGAGGGCTTTTAACATGAAGAAATGCTTAGTAAAAAGTATGTTCTACATGTGTGTTGAGAAGATCATGTGGTTTTTGTTTTTAGTTTTGTTTAGGTGATGAATCACATGTATTGATTGTGTATGTTCAACCAACCTTGCACCCTAAGAATAAAGTTGACTTGATCATGGTGGATTCACTTTTTGATATGCTGCGGGATTCAGTTCTTAGTATTTTTTGTGGATTTTTGCATCTATGCTCATCAGGAATATTGGCATGTAGTTTTCTTTTGTTTAATATTCTTTTCTGTCTTTAGTATCAGGGTGATGCCAGCCTTATAGAATGAGTAAAGGCCACCCTGGGCAAACAGTGAGACCCATCCCTTTTTAAAAATTATGAGTTTTACAAATTTAAAATGCATAGTGAAAAAGTTCTTACAAACTCCAGAAAGGTAGGTGTAAATAAGAGACATTTGTAAGAATGACAGCACATTAAATGTGTAGATTTCAACCTTCAGTTATTGCAATATTCCAGTATCAAGTTGGAGGATGTTATCAGTCTGATATTTTTTCCTCAAATGAGAGAGAGAAAGAAAGACACACAAACAACACAGGGAGAAAAAAAGCACACGTTACAGAGAGACAAAAAGGGAGACAGGGAACTGTGAATTTGGACTCTTGTGTCATAAGACAAATTCTAGATAACACGACCAGACCTTCAATTGACATATTGTGTTTTTGCTAATAAGGTGGAATTCTATGATGCGAAATAACTATATAGTCTTTTCTACTGGGATTTAAATCATTTTATCTGTTTCTGGCTTAACAGGAAAAATACAACCATGGAAAATTATGATGATTTATTTAATACGATTGCTCTATAGTGTTAATAAAACCTATTAGGTATTTTGCATATTACATATCAAGGAGAGTTTGAATCTCAGGTAGAAACAAAAAAAAATACATCAAAAGTTCCTCATGTGAGTGCAGAATTCAATCGTCCCGTGCAGGGGTAAGTGAGTCTGAGATGTGTTTTGAGCCTGGCCGTTGCGCATGATGTGAACTGACAAGTCTAGTCTGCAGTTTTCAGAAACCCTCATTCCTCCCTTGACTGACTCACCACTTGAACCTCATATGACGTAGAAGAAGCCTACCTATGTCCCCTTCACATGTTGTGGTCAATGTGTCAACTGCACGATCCGGGCCCCTCACCACATCCTCTGCACCGGTCAGTCGAGCCGAGTCACTGCGTCCTGGCAGCAGAAGCTGCACCATGTCCATGTCACCCACGGTCATCATCCTGGCATGTCTTGGTGAGTCCTGGAAGGGAAGGAGCACCAGGGTTACACTATGGGCCTGCAGATTGGGTGTCTCCCCAGCAGAGAGCCATGTTCTGAAGCAAGTGAGTGGTGAGGATGAGTTAATTTTCAGTCCAGCGTGGCGCCCAGTGGCTCAGGAGGAAAGGGTAGGTTGGTGCCGAGATGAATAGTTCATCATGATCTTTCTTTGCAGGGTTCTTCTTGGACCAGAGTGTGTGGGCACACGTGGGTGAGTCCTTCCCCAAATGATGGGTTGCCATCTTCACCCCAATACAAGTGAATTTTCCGGAAATGGGAGGGAGGCAGCACAGAGGGTGGGCTGATGGGCTGACCATGGGAAGGCCTGGGGGGAGTCTCTCATGAACTAGTAAGAGGAGATCCTGGGAGTCTCTCATGAACTAGTAAGAGGAGATCCTGGGAGTCTCTCATGAACTAGTAAGAGGAGATCCTGGGAGTCTCTCATGAACTAGTAAGAGGAGATCCTGGTATGCTCAGCCCTCTGTTTTGTCTTAGCCCTCCCCAGCCTTTCTTCCCCATGGCTGAGTTGAGCTCTGTGTGGCCCAGGCGGGATACTGAGGTGCTCAAAGCTGGGGTGTGTGGGGGGATGTGGTGTCACCGACAGAGGAGGGAAGGGTAGCAGTGTTAGGAACAGCAGGTCCTCTGAGGACAAGAGGGTAACTCACACCCTCCAGCGTTTCCATGACGGTAGGGGCTGCAGTGTGGCTGCTGTCATTCTGCCAGAAGAGGTGGGGGAACCACAGCCACGACCCTGCCATTCCAAATCCTCTGATGGAGCTCAGTTGTTTATTGTGGTTCAGGCATTAGCTAATATTCCATTCACAAAGGTCATACCCTCCACCCCATGTCTACTTTGTGTTGTTTGGTGTAACTAATCTTGCAGTATTAAAATCTAGTAAGAGTCCCTTACTCAGCACCTGCTCAGTTCTCAACTGACACTTTTGTTGTAGGGAGACGCCACGTCTATGCGGGATGGGTCCTTCCTGTAGCCCCAGGCACCCAGGTGTGGTAGGAGCCTTAGAAAGAAGAAATGGGGAGAATCTTCTGAGCACAGGGAGGGAGGGGCAGCTCAACATACTCCTCTCTGAGGCGGCATCTCCTTCTCCCCAAGGTGGTCAGGACAAGCCCTTCTGCTCTGCCTGGCCCAGCGCTGTGGTGCCTCAAGGAGGACACGTGACTCTTCGGTGTCACTATCGTCGTGGGTTTAACATCTTCACGCTGTACAAGAAAGATGGGGTCCCTGTCCCTGAGCTCTACAACAGAATATTCTGGAACAGTTTCCTCATTAGCCCTGTGACCCCAGCACACGCAGGGACCTACAGATGTCGAGGTTTTCACCCGCACTCCCCCACTGAGTGGTCGGCACCCAGCAACCCCCTGGTGATCATGGTCACAGGTCAGAGGGCTCCTGTCTGGGCTTCTCCTTGTCCCACCTCCTGAGTCCCAGAGCTTCTGGTGGGGGTGTCCACCAGAGTCCGATCATCCAGGCCCCAACTATATTTGGGGTAAAGGGGGATTGAATACAGGGGAATGGGTGCTGTGTTGGAAAGAATAACTGTCCCCATCGATGGCCACATTGTAATCCTTGGAGCCTGTGACTATGTTATAGGGCAGGGGACTGAAGGGGAAGATGGAGCTCAGGTTGTTGATGAGTTGACCTTGAGATGGGGAGATGGCCTGGACTCTCCCACTGGGCTCAGTGTAATCACAAGGGTCCATATGAGTGGAGAAGGAAGAGGAGAATGGGGATTAGAGCAGCATCGTGGGATACTCCACCAGCCACTGTGGGCTTTGAAGGTGGAGGAAGACCACGAGCCACGAAGGGGCTGGAGAAATCAATGGAACTGATTCTCCCGAGTCTCCAGAGGGAATGCAGCCCTGCAGATGCATTGATTGTAGCCCAGGAAGAACAGGGTCTGATTTCTGTCTCCAGAAGTGGAAGGGGTCAGTGTGTTCTCTCCTGTCGCCATGTTTGTGATAATTTTCTCCAGCAACAACAGGAAACCAACACAGGAACCCAGGTGAAGGACAAGTTAAAAAACCAAACAAGAAGGTTGGCTACCCTGAGATCAGCAAGGGTGCACTGCTGATGCCACCACCAGGCTGGAACCACATAGGGAGGGATCGACAGGAAGAGTTGGGGGTGGAGGGTGAGAGAGAGAGAGAGAGCACTAGGCCATAGAGCAGGGCAGTGAGTTCTCAGCTCAGGTGGGAGGGGAGCTGTGACAAGGAAGAACCTCCCTGAGGAAACTGCCTCTTCTCCTTCCAGGTCTATATGAGAAACCTTCGCTTACAGCCCGGCCGGGCCCCACGGTTCGCACAGGAGAGAACGTGACCTTGTCCTGCAGCTCCCAGAGCTCCTTTGACATCTACCATCTATCCAGGGAGGGGGAAGCCCATGAACTTAGGCTCCCTGCAGTGCCCAGCATCAATGGAACATTCCAGGCCGACTTCCCTCTGGGTCCTGCCACCCACGGAGAGACCTACAGATGCTTCGGCTCTTTCCATGGATCTCCCTACGAGTGGTCAGACGCGAGTGACCCACTGCCTGTTTCTGTCACAGGTGAGGAAAGCCAATGTCTGTCCCATGTCCTATGGTCCTAGAGCCTTAGCTGAGGAGCTTCCTGCTGATGATGGAGAGAAGCATGGACAGATGTGGAGAGAAGATGCAGCATGGTGTGAGGGTGGGATCAGGGCACAGGATGGCAGACAGGGCACCTCCAAACCCTCCTGCATGGCCTGCATGGAAGCTTGCAGTAAGGGCTCCGGGTACCCAGGCAGATGGAGAAAGTGGTCAGGACAGACCCAGAGGAGGGAGACTGGGCTCAGTTTGGGGAGATCAGAGGTTCCCTCAGCCCCTCAACCTTACCCATTTCCCAGAAGCCCACCCTGGCCTCTCACCTACACAGAGATGTCATCACCAGCAACCCCTACACTTTTTCTTTTCCTTTGAAAAAATGCTGATTGAGGTTAAATATACCTATATAATTTATCAACTTTACCATTTTTAAGTGTAAAATCTAGGGATCATAAATACCTTTATATGCTGTGTGCGGTGGCTCACGCCTGTAATCTCAGCATTTTGAGACGCCAAGGCAGGTGGATCATTTAAAATCAGGGGCTGGAGACCAGCCCGGCCAACATGGGGGAACCAATCTTTACTAAAAAGACAAAAAAAATAAAATTAGCCAGGCATGGTGCCAGGCGCCTATAATCCCAGCAACTTGGGAGGCTGAGGCGGGAGAGTGGCTTAAACCCAGGAGGAGGAGGTTGCAGTGAGCTGAGATCATGCCACTGCACTGCAGCCTGGTGACACAGAGAGACTCTGTCTCTAAATAAATAAATAAATAAATACTTTTATATTCTTCTTTTGTTACCCTCCACCCCTTCCTTCCTAACCTCTGGTATCCACCATTCTACTCTCTACCTTCATGAGGTCCACCTTTTACATCCTGCATGTGAGTAAGAAATGGCAATCCTTGTAATGACCTCTAGTCCATCCATGTGGCTGCAAATGACAGGACGTTACTCTTTCTATGGATGAGTTGTCTCCATTGTGTGTATGTACTACATTCTCTCTATCCATTCATCCACTGATGGGCAGGTAGGTTGACTCCACATCTTGGCTACTGTGAACAGTGCTGGAACAGTCATGGGAGTGCAGATGTCACTTCAATACACTGAAGTCCTTTTCTTTGCATTTACACCCACTAGTGGAATTGCTAGATCCTCTGGATGTTCTCTTTTTAGGTTTTGTTTTATGCTTTTTGTTTTTTTGACATAGCGTTTCACTCTTGTTGCCCAAGCTGGAGTGCAATGGCACCACCTGGGCTCACTGCAACCTCTACCTCCAGGATTCAAGTGATTCTCCAGCCTCAGCCTCCCGAGTAGTTGGGATTACTGGTGCCCGCCACCAAGCCTGGCTGATTTTTGTATTTTTAGTAGAGACGGGGTTTCACCATGTTAGCCAGGCTGGTCTCGAACTCTTGACCTCCAGTGATCTGCCCACTTCAGCCTCCCAAGGTGCTGGGATTACAAGCGTGAGCCACAGTGCCTAATCTCTTTTCAGTTTTTAAGGAACTTCCATATTCTTCTCCTCTGTAATGGCTGTATTAATTTACATTCCTATCAACAGTGTATCAGGGTTCTCCTTTCTCCACCACCTTGCCAACATTTGTTTTGTCTGTCTCTGAGATAAAACCCATTGTAATGGGGTGAGATGATAGCTCATTGTGACTTCATTTGCATTTCTCTGATGATTAGTGATACTGAGCACTTTTTCATATATGCAATGTATATATGTTCATTTGTATGTTTTGTTCATTGAGAAATGTCTGTTCAGGTCTTTTACTAATTTTATAATTAAATTATTAGTTTTATTGAGGTGTTTGAGCTTCTTTTATATTCTAGTTATTAATCCCATCTCAGATGCATAGTTTGCAAATATTTGCTCCCATTCTGTGGGTTTTCTCTTCTTCACTTCATTGGTTGCTTCCTTTGCGGTGCAGAAGCTGCTTGATTTGATATAATCCCAATGGTCTATTTTTTTTGTTGTTGTTGTGATTACTTGTGTTTTTGAGGTTTTAAACAAAATGTCTTCCCTCAGACAAATGTCCTGGAGCATTTCTCCAGTGTTTCCTTTTAGACATTTAATGGATTCAGGTCTTAAGTCATTAATCCATTTTCATCTGATTTTTGTGTATGGTGAGAGGTAGAGGTGCAGTTTCATCCCTCTGCATGTAGATATCCAGTTTTCCCTGCACCATTTATTGAAATGACTGTCCTTTCCAGATTGTAGATTCTTCGAACCTTTGTCAAAGTCCATTGGATGTAAATGGGTGGATTACATCCGTGTTCTTCATTCTGCTTCATTGTTTTATGTGCTTTTCTTTATGCCAATGTCATGTTGTTTTGCTTACTACAGCTCTGTAACATATTTTTAAGTCAGGTAGTGTGATGCTCCTGTTTTCTCCTTATACCTTGAAGTCTCAAGATAGTTGGTGTCACCTACAATGATTATGGAGAATGGGATGCCAGGACTCCCAGGGCCCAACATTAGATAATAGAAGGTTGGCCATGAACCAACCTCAAAGATTTCCATTGAGTAGAAAAGACAGGCATCCTCATTGCCACACCTCTCTCCTGTCCCATGTTCTAGGAAACCCTTCTAGTAGTTGGCCTTCACCCACTGAACCAAGCTTCAAAACTGGTAAGTGAAGGACCCCTCTTATCTCTGCTTTTGGAAACCTGGGGAGGTAGAAGCCTTGGATTCAAGCGTTGGCTCAGCACCTGCCAGCTCTGTGATTGTGGGCCTGTCTTCCATTGTCTCTGAACCCCAGACACTCCAACAGCGAAAGGGATCTGGGCCCAGCACAGGGCTCAGTGAAATCTCTTAATCTCTAATTTTCTGCTGCTGAGACCTCAGGGTAGAAGGATGAGTGCAAATCAGACATTCTTCTCAGGAAAAATGCTGTGTTTGTTCTGCCTGCATTCCTAACTGGGAGGACAAATGCCTGGGGGCTTGAGAAGGGGAAGGAAGGGGAACATTTTTGAGGGTGGTGTGTTTGTAGAGAAGTTCTACTTGCCAAGGAATGAGCTCCTGTCTGTCATGATCCAACCCTGGTTGACTTAGTGGAACAAGAGCTTTGCGGTAAGAGAGAACGTAGTTCATCCGTGCACATGACACTTCCACTTACTCGTTCAGCCACTGCCCCATGCTCAGACTGTGCAGTGTGGAACTTTTTCCTATGTTGCCATAACAAATTTCCACAAGCTTCGTGGATGGAAACCACATTTTTAAAAAATATCTCATGGTGCTGTAGCTCAGAAGTATGAAATGCATCATCTCACTGGGCTAAAATCAAGGTGACAGCAAGGCTGCCTTCCCTCTGAATGTTCCAGGCAAGAATCTGCTTCCTCACTTTTCCCAGCTCCTAGAGGCTCCCACATTCCTTGGCTCCTGGTCCCCGTCTTCCTCCCTCAAAGTCCACAAAGGCTGGTCACGCCTCTCACACGGCATCACTCAGACCCTTCTTCCTTGTCCACACCTCTTTCTCTGAATGCTGCTCTGCCTTCTTCCTCATCTTTTAAGGACTTTGGCATTCTATTGGAAACACCAAGATAATCCATCATAATTTCCCTAAAATCATCTAGGATACCCTCCTTTTAAGGTTAGCTGATTAGCAACCGTAATTCCATCTGCAATCTGCATTCCTTTTTTCCATGTAAAATAACATATTCACAAGATATGGCGACTAGGACAGGAACATTTTGGGGTGGGGCGGCATTCTTATCCTTTCCACAAATGGTAAACAAGGTGCATTTGGCCTCTGCTCTTGGACACTGATATTGCAAAGGATTAAATGGGAGGGCAGAAAATGAATACACCAGTGGACCAATAAATGAATGATCCATTGGGAAGCATCTGTGCATGAGAATGATTGATTGATTGGTTGTTTTTATGAGACGGTGTCTCCCTCTGTGCCCCAGGCTGGAGTGCAGTGGCGGGATCTCGGCTCACCGCAACCTCCACCTCCCAGGTTAAAGCGATTCTCTACACTCAGCTTCCCGAGAGGCTGGGATTACACCCATGTCCCACCACGCCTGGCTAATTTTTTTTTGGTATTTTTTTTTAGTACAGACAAGGTTTTACCATGTTGCCCAGGCTATCTCAAACTCCCAACCTTAAGGGATCCGCCCGTCTCAGCCTCCCAAAGTGCTGAGATTAGAGGCGTGAGCCAAGGCGCCGAGCCGTATTTTAAAAGAAATAATAGATAATGCTGAGTGTATAATTTCGGGTGACAGAGAAGTTCTCACTGATCAAATAATACTTGTGACCTTAATGAAAAAAATAGATCAACCCCTGGAAGATTGGCGGAAGGATTTTCCACACAGCTGTCAGCCGTGAAGGCACAAAGGTGAAAACAATGTTATGTGGAAGGAAGAGGCTCTGCCTGAAATGCTGGGAATGACATGGGGAGAATGACAAGACGACTGTGGAGAGACAGAGAGCACTCTGGGTACACAGGAAACTAAGGAGGAACAAGGAGCGTGTGTTTGATACTCACAGCCATTGGACTTACCTCGGGGCTAACTGGGAATCCCTACATGATGAATAGTGACTGACATGAAAATAAGGGAGGCCCAGGTGCATAACTGGAATCTAGGAGACTGTGGAAAAGGCAATTCCCGCCCCCCTGGTGAAATGTGGTGCTGATTTAGACACTAAATGAATGAAAGATGGACACAAGATGTGTTTGTGAGGTAGAGTAATTTGCAGGGAGGGCTTGCCTGGTTTGATTTTTCCTAATTGTTTAATCTTCACTTCATTGATTTCTTTCTGAGATTTATTTTTCCTACATGTAAATCAATACTTGGCAGAGGAGTGAGAGATACATGAGGGGTGGTGCAAAGGAAGAGACCTATTATAATATAACACACAAGGTTCTGAACGGTGGCTCACACCTGTAACCCAACATTTTGGGAGGCTGAGGAGGCTGGATCAAGTGAGATCAGGAGTTCGAGATCAGCCTGGACAACATGGTGAAACCCCATCTCTACAAAATATACAAAAACTAGCTGGGGGTGGTGGCGCGTGCCTGTAATACCAGCTATTCAGGAAGTTGAAGAAGGAGAATGGCTTCAACCAGGGAGGGAGAGGTTACAGTGAGCCAAGATCGCGTCATTGCACTGCACCCTAGGTGACAGAGTGAGACTCCATGGCAAAAAATAAAAATAAAGAATACATAAATATAATATAACATACACGAATGACAAAGGCACACCAATTCCAATCATCATTTTTCTATTTCTCTATAATGACTTCTTTGATCCTTTATCCTATCCATAAGAAAATCAGGCGAAAACATCTTCCTTATTTGGCTTTCTGTGAGCATGAGATCATATGGAAAATGTGAAACCCACCAGCACAGGTCCTGGAATAGAGAACGTGATCTGTTCATGGCACAAAACTTGCCCCTTCACCCAAATCCCCCACCTCACCCCTACTTCCAATCACATTAATGATACAGATAGATCATGGGGAGGTAAAAACTAATATTCTTTGGAGTTCAGATCGTAGACTCAGAGACCAGTGCCAGCACTATCTCCTGGTCACCTTTTGGAGTAATTCACAGAAAGACAGGCTGTATTGAAGCAACAGATGATGGAGGGGGTGGTCTTTCCCCCAGACTCTCGGGTGGAACAGCAGCCTAATATCTGACTCCCAAGATGACAAAAGTAGCATGTTGCCCACGAGCTTCATCATTATTTCCTGGCTGTTTGATATAAGACAGCTCAACCTCACTTATGTTGATTTCAATGTCACTGTTTTTTCCTTTTCTTGGAGAATGTAATTTGTTTGAGTCAAGAGGGTTGTGGATGTAGAAACTGTAAAGCACATTCACTGTGTATCAATCCCAGTCCAGTCTTCCCAGAGAAGACTCTAAACACCTCCCATACTGCACCTGGGCCTGTGCCAATTTCTATCACTCACCATCACTCCAGGGAGACAGAACACACAGGGAATACATTACATAGGCAGGTTCATTACTTATAGATAAGCAGCGAGTGACAACAGAAACCTTCCTTTCAGGGTGAGCCAGTCCCTCAAGGCTCAGAAAAACTGCTCAGGACACATGGAGTCACTTCATGTGCACTGTAGCTGGGGGAAGCCAGAAAGCAGCCCAGCCTGGGTTTTGTACCCTGGAGCCACAGGGAACACTCAGCTAAAGCACTGCATGATGTTCTCCTCCAGGAAGAACAGGAAGACAGCCCAGGCTGTTCTGAGACGTTCCTCCTGATCTCAGGATGTTGCTGTCTTAGCCTATTTTTGTTGCTATAAAAGAACACTTGAGCCTGGGTATCTTCTAAAGAAAAGAGATGTGTTTGGCTCACTGATCGGCACGCTGTACTAGAAGCAGGACACTACCATCTATTTCTGGCTGCGGCCTCAGGCTGCTCCCACACTGACAGAAGAGAAGGGGGTCCTGCGTGTGCAGAGACCACAGAGATCACATGGCAAGAGAGGGAGAAAGGGGGTGTGATGGAGCTTCCAAGCTCTTTTTAAGAATCAACTCTCCAGGGTACTAATAGAGGGAGAACTTGCTAAACCCGTCCTCTGGGGACAGCATTAATCTATTCATGATGGATCCACCCCCATGACCAAAACACCCCTCCCAATAGGCACAACCTCCCACACTGGGGATTAAATTTCAAAGTGGGGTTTGGAGGGGTCAAACATTGAAACAATAGCAGTTGTATCATCAGCACATTCTATTGTTATTATGAAAACTATAACGGAGAAAGCAGGAGAAAGCTGGGTCTCCCGCCTCGTGGGTGCTTGTCCTAAAGAGGTGTTTTATGTGGTTGCCTGGCAACCAAGAAATGAGAGACAATCCACAAAGAGGAACTGCTATGGTTAGCTTCTTATTGGATTCTCATCTTCCTCCAGGTATCGCCAGACACCTGCATGCTGTGATTAGGTACTCAGTGGCCATCATCCTCTTCACCATCCTTCCCTTCTTTCTCCTTCATCGCTGGTGCTCCAAAAAAAAAAGTAAGCCTCACGAAGCAGAGGCCAGAGAACTCAGGGCCCTGTGCGGAAGCAGGATGGGAGCACGCAGGTGTGTGTTCCTCACTGGCAGGAAAGTCTCTGGCCCAAGGCAGGAGCCAGAGGCAGAGCTTTCTAGAGAGAGCACCAGACACCCTGCCCCTGCCTTCAGCTCACAGACCATTGCCTGATTGTGAACTGTATCCTCACGTCCCCTGCAGCCACTCACATCCAGGAGAAGATTCCATGACAGGCAGAAAGTGGGAGATAGAATCAATGGGATGGGAACTGACAGCTATTCATGGAATGGGGTCTTGCACTCAGAGAGATGGAATGTCTGAGTCTGGCTGTTGGCAGCTGAGGGACCTCAGGCACCTATGGCCTCCCCCTGTGTGTTGGTATCTGTTCATGAAATGAGGACCCAGAAGTGCCCTCCCAGCTGTTTTGATTGCTTCCGTCTCCTACAGATGCTGCTGTAATGAACCAAGAGCCTGCGGGACACAGAACAGTGAACAGGGAGGTAGGTCCTCCTAGCCCAGCCTCATGGATACAGTCTTATTCCCTAATAGTCCTGAAAAATGTGAACACCCTCCCTCACTCAGGATTTCCCTCTCTCCAGGACTCTGATGAACAAGACCCTCAGGAGGTGACATACGCACAGTTGGATCACTGCATTTTCACACAGAGAAAAATCACTGGCCCTTCTCAGAGGAGCAAGAGACCCTCAACAGATACCAGCGTGTGTATAGAACTTCCAAATGCTGAGCCCAGAGCGTTATCTCCTGCCCATGAGCACCACAGTCAGGCCTTGATGGGATCTTCTAGGGAGACAACAGCCCTGTCTCAAACCCAGCTTGCCAGCTCTAATGTACCAGCAGCTGGAATCTGAAGGCGTGAGTCTCCATCTTAGAGCATCACTCTTCCTCACACCACAAATCTGGTGCCTGTCTCTTGCTTACCAATGTCTAAGGTCCCCACTGCCTGCTGCAGAGAAAACACACTCCTTTGCTTAGCCCACAATTCTCTATTTCACTTGACCCCTGCCCACCTCTCCAACCTAACTGGCTTACTTCCTAGTCTACTTGAGGCTGCAATCACACTGAGGAACTCACAATTCCAAACATACAAGAGGCTCTCTATTAACACGGCACTTAGACACGTGCTGTTCCACCTTCCCTCGTGCTGTTCCACCTTTCCTCAGACTATTTTTCAGCCTTCTGGCATCAGCAAACCTTATAAAATTTTTTTGATTTCAGTGTAGTTCTCTCCTCTTCAAATAAACATGTCTGCCTTCATTCTTTAGGTGACTCTTTTTTTGGCTGAAAGTTTCCAGTGTTATCATTACCATGTCCAAATAACTCCAACTGTTCTCCACTGGGTTCTCACCCCTGGACTCTGAGCTTCTGGAAGCAGGGTGGAGCCTGATTTGTCTCTGAGACTCCAATTTCCATCCAAAGATGCAGCACATAAGAGGTTCCAAGGATCGTGAATCACATGAACAAGTGATATTCTTACTCTCTGCAGACCTGGAAAGCTGGCAGAGTCATTCCATGATGAAACATTTGTAGAGTCATAGGCCTTGTCAGTCTCATCTCCACGGGGACACATATCAACACATCATCTTTCATACTATAAATATACAGTCGGTCCTCTGTATCTGTGGGATTTACAGGTGTTTATTGAACCAAATATAAATCAAAAATATTCAGAGAAAAAATCCACAAAGTTTCAAAAAGCAAAACTATGTTGAATGGACACAAATGAAGCTGTGTGTAGGCTGTATCAGGAATTATAAATAATCAAGGGATGATTTCATGTACACAGGAGGATGTGCATGGGTTATTTGCAAATGCTGTGCCATTTCATGTAAGAGGCTTGAGCATCTGCAGATTGTGCTATCTGAGTGGAGATCCTGAAACCAATCACCCACGAATAGTGAGGGATGACTGTATATAATTTTTATTTCTCAATTTTAAATATAAAACATAAAAAAATTACAATAACAAGATAAAATAAACAAGTGTTTTATAGTGTGAGAATACTTTTAGATATATTTTTCTCCATGTGTAACCCTTGGGCCCATGTTATTTATTGAGAAGACATTCTATTCCACCTTAAACCACATGGCAGCCTTTGTCAACTATAAAGGGACTGTGTGTACACGGATGTATTTTAGACACTGTTTTCTGCTCAGTGGCTCTCTCTCTGTCCACTCTCTTGAGAATGCTGCATTTTATGCAGCCTTATACAACCCCTAAAATTTGGTAGCTGGAGTCCTCTAGTTATTTATTATAGGCTATTTGCTATGCTTTTTTTATTTTTCTTGAGGCAGAGTCTCGCTCTGTTGCCCAGGCTGGAGTGCAGTGGCACGATCTCGGCTCACTGCAACTTCCGCCTCCCAGGTTCAAGGGATTCCGTGGCTCAGCCTCTTGAATAGCTGGCATTACAAGTGCCTGCTACCAGGCATGGCTAATTTTTGTATTTTTAGCAGAGACATGGTTTCACTATATTGGCCAGGCTGGTCTCAAACTCCTGACCTCGGTTGATCACTCACTTCGGCTTCCAAAGTGCTGGGGAAATTGATTTTCTATAGCATTATGTTACTGGATATTTCTGTAAAATTTAAAATGAGGGAGGCAGAGAGACAGAGAGAGAGCAAACCATGAGTTGGAACTCTGGAATCTTGGGACATGAGACAAATTCTAGATAAATCTACAAAAATCCAGAATTTACATGTTGTGATTTTTGCTGATAAAGTACAATTCTAAGATTGTAAATAATTGCATAATCCTTCCCTGGGAGTTTAAATCATTTGAACTGGTTCTGCTGTAATACTAGAAATACAATCATGAAAAATTCTAATGGTTTATTGTCACAATTGCTCTGAAAACCTTAATAATACCTATTAGATATTTTGCATATTACACAGGAAGAAGAGTTTGAATCTCAGATAAAAGCAAAAAAAATACATGAAAAGTCTTTCATGTTAGCACAGATTTTAGGCATCTCGTGTTCGGGAGGTTGGATCTAAGACGTGTTTTGAGTTGGTCATAGTGAAGGACGCGAGGTGTCAATTCTAGTGAGAGCAATTTCCAGGAAGCCATGTTCCGCTCTTGAGCGAGCACCCACTGGGCCTCATGCAAGGTAGAAAGAGCCTGCGTACGTCACCCTCCCATGATGTGGTCAACATGTAAACTGCATGGGCAGGGCGCCAAATAACATCCTGTGCGCTGCTGAGCTGAGCTGGGGCGCGGCCGCCTGTCTGCACCGGCAGCACCATGTTGCTCATGGTCGTCAGCATGGCGTGTGTTGGTGAGTCCTGGAAGGGAATCGAGGGAGGGAGTGCGGGGATGGAGATCTGGACCTGGAGGTAAAGATATGGGCCTAGAGGTGGAGTTATGGGCCTGGAGGTGGAGTTATGGGCCTGAAGTGGAGATCTGGGCCTGGAGTGGAGATCTGGGCCTGGAGTGGAGATAGGGGCCTGGGGTGGAGATATGTGCCTGGAGTGGAGATCTGGGCCTGGAGTGGAGATATGGGCCTGGGGTGGAGATATGTGCCTGGGGTGGAGATATGGGCCTGGAGGGGAGATATGGATGGGCCTGGAGGGGAGATGTGGGCCTAGAGGTGGAGTGATGGGCCTAGAAGTGGAGCGATGGGCCTGGAGTGGAGATATGGGCCTGGAGGTGGAGTTATGGGCCTGCAGTAGAGATATGGGCCTGAAGTGGAGATATGGGCCTGGAGTGGAGATATGGGCCTAGAGGTGGAGTTATGGGCCCGGAGGTGGAGTTAAGGGCATGAAGTGGAGATCTGGGCCTGGAGTGGAGATATGATCCTGGAGTGGAGATATGGGCCTGGGGTGGAGATACGGGCCTGGAGCAGACATACAAGCCTGGAAAGGAGATATGGGCCTGGAGAGGAGATAGAAGCCTGGAGTGGAAATATGGGCCTGGAGTGGAGATATGAGCCTGGAGTGGATATATGAGCCTGGAGTTGAGATAGGAGCCTGGAGTGGAGATATGGGCCTGGAGTGGACTTATCAGCCTGGAGAGGAGATATGGGTCTGGAGTGGAGATACGGACCTGGAGTGGAGATCTGGGCCTGTTGTGTAGATCTAGGCCTGGAGGTAGAGATCTGGGCCTGGAGGCTGAGTCTCTGCACAGCCGAGATCCTTGTTCCTGGGGGCAGGTAGGCAGCGAGGGTGAGTTTACCTTCAGCCCAGCAAGGGCCTGGCTGCCAAGACGCACAGCCCAGTGGGGGCAGCAGGGTGCCCTGGTTTGCCTGCAGATGGATGGTCCATCATGATCTTTCTTTCTAGGGTTCTTCTTGGTCCAGAGGGCCGGTCCACACGTGGGTGAGTCCTTCCCCAAACCTTAGGGTGTCATCTCCCCACATAAGAGGATTTTCCTGAAATGGGAGGGAAGTCCTGTCGGGGAGTCTCTCATAAACTAGGAAGAGGGGACCCTCGGATGCTCGGCCCACATTTCTGACCTTGCCCTCCCCGGCCTTTCTTTCCCTTTCCTGAGTCAAGCTCTGTGAAGACTGGGGTGAGACTAGGGTGCTCCAAGATGGGTGTGCAGGGAGGAAGTGGTGTCAGCAGCAGAGAAAGAGAGGGAAGCAGTGCTAGGAACAGCAGGTCCTCTGAGGACAAAGGTGTAACTCACACCCTCCAGCGTTTCCGTGATGGTAGGGGCTGCAGTGTGGCTGTGGTCTTTCTACCAGAAAAGGTGAGGAAACCACAGCCATGGCCCTGACATTCCAAATCCTCTGATGGGGGCTCAGTTCATCAATTGGCTGATATTCCATTCACATAGGACTTGCCCTCCATGCCGTGTCTACTTTGTGTTGTTTTATATGAGTAATTTTGCAGTATTAAAATCTAGTAAGAGTTGCTTCTCCAGCACTTGCTCAAAGTTCTCAGCTGACACTTGTTGTAGGGAGACGCCATGTCTATGCAGGATGGGTCCTTCCTGTAGCCCTGGGCACCCAGGTGTGGTAGGAGCCTTAGAAAGTGGAAATGGGGAGAATCTTCTGGGCACTGGGAGTGAGGGGCGGCTCCACATCCTCCTCTCTAAGGCAGTGCCTCCTTCTCCCCCAGGTGGTCAGGACAAGCCCTTCCTGTCTGCCTGGCCCAGCGCTGTGGTGCCTCGAGGAGGACACGTGACTCTTCGGTGTCACTATCGTCATAGGTTTAACAATTTCATGCTATACAAAGAAGACAGAATCCACGTTCCCATCTTCCATGGCAGATTATTCCAGGAGAGCTTCAACATGAGCCCTGTGACCACAGCACATGCAGGGAACTACACATGTCGGGGTTCACACCCACACTCCCCCACTGGGTGGTCGGCACCCAGCAACCCCGTGGTGATCATGGTCACAGGTCAGAGGCTTTCCGTCTGGGCTTCTCACTGTCCCACCTCCTGAATCCCAGAGCTTCTGGTGGGGGTGTCCGTCAGGGTCCCATCACCCAGGCCCTGACTGTATTTGGGGTCAAGGGAGATTGAATACAGGGGAAATGGGTGCTGTGGTGGGAAGAATCACTGTCCCCAATGATGGCTACATTGTAATCCCTGGAGCCTGTGACTATTTATGTTACAGGGCAGGGGACTGAAGGGGAAGGTGGAGCTCAGGTTGTTGATGAGTTGACCTTGAGATGGGGAGACAGCCTGGACTGTCCCACTGGGCTCAGTGTAATCACAAGGGTCCACATGAGAGGTGGAGGAAGAGGGGAGTGGGGATTAGAGCAGTGTAGTGGGAGGGAGACGCTATCAGCCACTGCGGGCTTTGAAGGTGGAGGAAGACCACTAGTCACAGAATGCAGGTGGCCTCTAAGGGCTGGAGAAGTCAAGAGAACTGATTCGCTGATTCTCCAGAGGGAACGCAGCCCTGTAGACACCTTGATTTCAGCACAGGGAGAACTGGATCCAATTTCTGTCTCCAGAAGTGGAAGGGGTCAGTGTGTTCTCTCCCGCTGCCATGTTTGTGGTAATTTTCTGCAGCAGCAACAGGAAACCAACACAGGAACCCAGGTCAAGGACAAGTTAGGAAACCAAACAAGGATAGCCAGATGTGGTGGTGGGCGCGAGTAATCCAACGACTGGGGAGGCTGAGGCAAGAGAATCACTTGAACTGGGGATTTGTTCAAAAGAGATTGATTCAGGCTGCTAAGAGCCTGGACATGCAGCCTCTCCTCTTCCACCCCCACATAGACAGCAGGAAAGAGATTAGTGGGAAACAGATACAACAGCCCAAGAGATGAGGCTGTCTTCACAGTGGCAAGGGAGTCAGGGGCTACTGGAGACAGAGGGACAGAGAAGAGGGAGGAAGACAGATGGAGGCACCTGCACCAGGGGATATGGGCACAGAAAAGACACGGAGATGCAGAGAGGGAGGAGAGAGACAGACACGGGGAGGGGAACCCTCACTCATTCCAGGTGCCATGGATGGGATGATAAAGAGAGATGCCTTCTAAACTCACAACTTCTCTTTCTAGGAAACCACAGAAAACCTTCCCTCCTGGCCCACCCAGGTCCCCTGGTGAAATCAGGAGAGAGAGTCATCCTGCAATGTTGGTCAGATATCATGTTTGAGCACTTCTTTCTGCACAAAGAGGGGATCTCTAAGGACCCCTCACGCCTCGTTGGACAGATCCATGATGGGGTCTCCAAGGCCAATTTCTCCATCGGTCCCATGATGCTTGCCCTTGCAGGGACCTACAGATGCTACGGTTCTGTTACTCACACCCCCTATCAGTTGTCAGCTCCCAGTGATCCCCTGGACATCGTGGTCACAGGTGAGAGTGTCTAGACATTGTTCTCATTGTCACTGGGACACAGAGTGAATGATCCAGGACTTGGAACCCCCAGGTGGTCATGAGGAAGATAAGTGTGGGATTCTTATGGAAAGAGAGTGACTTGGTGAGGTCTGTACCAACAGAGACAGAGAAACAGGAGACATAAGTACAGAACAGGTGTCATAACAGAGGACAGACACAGGGGCCATACAGGGAGGTAGAAAAGAGAGAAAGAGGTAAAGGAGACACTCAGACAGACAGACATGTCCCAGAGAGAGGTGTCCTTCCATGCTGACTTTGCTCAGAGACCTGGCACAGGTTAGAAGTTTCATTTCTGTTTTACCTCCACAAAGTGTTCCTACCAGAAGAACCCAAGGACACCCATATTTCTGACCTGAGTTGGGCCCTGTGGCCTCAGGCCTTGTGCCACCTACAGATGCCGTGTTTATTCTGACACCTCTGCCTTCCATGCAATGGAGAGTAATCATCCCAGGATATCATGGCCCCTGAACACCAACCCCTGTATGCTGTGTGAACTTGGGGTCCCCAGACTGGATTCTGAGGCTCATATTCCAAATAATCCCACATATGATAGGATCGCTGAGAGACACAGAGAAAAATCAGGGACACCAAAAAACAAAGACATAAACACACACAAAATGAGCCAGAAGAAGGAGATTAAGAGATTCACAGACACATAAAAAGAAAGAAAAGAGGGCAGAATGGAGAGAATGATGGAAAGGAGGAGAGAAAAGCCCCAAAATCAGAACCCTGAGGGAGGGACACAAAGACAGAGAAAGATAAATATGTGGGGATGGATTGCAGAGATTCCAAATAGAACTAGAGAGACTGAGAGGCAGAGAAAGACAAGGAGACGGAGAGAGAGAGATGATAGATGGATAGATAGACGTAGATAGATGATAAATAGGTAGATGATAGATAATGGATTGGTTATAGATACATAGATGATGACTGATAGATGATACATAGAGATGACGATGATGATGATAGACACATAGATATATACATAGATGATACATAAATAGAGACAGAGAGGCAGACAGAGAGGTAATAGAGAGAGAGATAGATGATACATATATAGATAATAGATGATTGATGGATAGATAGACAGATAGACAATTGATAGAGAGATAGATAAGTGATACATAAATATAGATGATAGATAATTTGTAGATAGACACAAAATAGATAAATAGATAGAAATGTGCAGAAAGTTATGAACAAGACAGAAAGTGAGAGACTCAAAATTAAAGAAAAAGGAAGATCAAGTCAACCAATCCAAGGAGGGTCAGAGAGAATAAAACAATCCAAAAAGGGAAAACATACCTCAGGGTGGGGAAGTGAGGTCATAGACCTAGAGAGACAGAAAAGGTAGAAGGAGGAAACAGATATGAAGAGAGATGGGGTGGAGGGTGAGAGAGAGAGAGAGAGCATTAGGTCATAGAGCAGGGGAGTGAGTTCTCAGCTCAGGTATGAGGGGAGCTATGACAAGGAAGAACCTCCCTGAGGAAACTGCCTCTTCTCCTTCCAGGTCCATATGAGAAACCTTCTCTCTCAGCCCAGCCGGGCCCCAAGGTTCAGGCAGGAGAGAGCGTGACCTTGTCCTGCAGCTCCCGGAGCTCCTATGACATGTACCATCTATCCAGGGAGCGGGGAGCCCATGAACGTAGGCTCCCTGCAGTGCGCAAGGTCAACAGAACATTCCAGGCAGATTTCCCTCTGGGCCCTGCCACCCACGGAGGGACCTACAGATGCTTCGGCTCTTTCCGTCACTCTCCCTACGAGTGGTCAGACCCGAGTGACCCACTGCTTGTTTCTGTCACAGGTGAGAAAAGCCCATATCTCTCTCATGTCCTATGATCCTAAATCCTTAGCTAAGGAGCTTCCTGCTGATGATGGAGAAAAGCATGGACAGATGCAGAGAGAAGACACAGCAGGTGTGAGGGCGGAGTCAGGGCGCAGGATGGCAGACAGGGCACCTCCAAACCCTCCTTCATGGCCTGCATGGAGGCCTCCGATCAGGGCTCCAGGCACCCAGGCAGATGGAGAAAGCGGTCAGGACAGACCCAGAGAAGGGGAGACTGGGCTTAGTTTGGGGAGATCAGAGGTTCCCTCAGCCCCTCAATCTTATCCATTTCCCAGAAGCCCATCATGGCCTCTCACCCACACAGAGAGATATCATCACCAGCAACCCCTACACCCTTTTCTTTTCATTTTCAAAAATATTTATTGAGGTTAAATGTAACTATATAATTTACCACCTTTACCATTTTTAAAAGTAAAATCTAGTGGTCATAAATACCTTTATATGCTGGGTGTGGTGGTTCACGGTTGTAATCTCGGCGCTTTGAGAGGCCAAGGAAGGTGGATCATTTAAGATCAGGAACTCGAGATCACCCTGGCCAACATGTGGGAAATTCATCTTTACTAAACAGACAAGAAAAATTAGCCGAGCATGCTGGCATGCACCTGTAGTCCTAGCTACTTGGGAGGCTGAGGCAGGAGAAGCACTTAAAGCCAGGAGGCAGAGGTTGCACTGAGCCGAGATCATGCCACTGCACTGCAGCCTGGGAGACAGAGAGAGACTCTGTTTCTAAATAAATAAATACATCTATATTCTTTTTTTTGTTACCCTCCACCCTTCCCTTCCTGGCCTCTGGTGTCCACCATTGTATTCTCCACCTTCATGAGATCCACCTTTTATCTCCTGCATGTGGGTGAGAAATGGGAATCTTTGTAATGACCTCCAGTTCCATCCATGTGGCTGCAAATGACAGGATGTTATTGTTTCTATGGATGAGTAGTCTCCACTGTGTGTGTGTACCACAGTTCTCTATCCATTCACCCACTGATGGGCAGGTAGGTTGACTCCACATCTTGGCTACTGTGAACAGTGCTGGAACAGTCATATGAGTGCAGATATCACTTCGATACACTGATGTCCTTTCCTTTGGATATAAACCCAGTAGTGAAATTGCTGGACACTATGAAAGTTCTCTTTTTTTTTTTTTCTTTTTTGAGAAAGAGTTTCCCTCCTTAGTCCAAGCTGGAGTCTAAGTGGTGAGATCTTGGCTCATTGCAACCTGTGCCTCCTAGGTTCAAATGATTGTCCTGACTCAGCCTCCCTAGTAGCTGTGATTACAGGTGCACGCCACCATGCCTGGCTAATTCTTGTATTTTTTTAGCACAGACGGGATATCCCAATTTTGGGCAGGCTGCTCTCAAACTCCTGACCTCAAGTGAGGTGCCTGCCTCGGTTTCCCAAAGTGCTGAAGTTACAGGCATAAGCCACTATGCCCAGCCTCCTTTTAGTTTTTTAAAGAATTTCCATACTTTTCTCCATAATAGTTGTACTAATTTACATTCCTACCAACAGGGTACCAGGGTTCTCCTTTCTCTACCATCTTGCCAGCATTTGTTTTGCCTGTCTTGCAGTAAAAGCCATTTTACTTTACTTTATTTTATTTATTTATTTATGTTGAGATGGAGTTTCACTCATAGTCTCCCAGGCTGGAGTGCAAGGGTGTGATCTCAGCTCACTGCAACCTCCGCCTCCCGCGTTCAACTGATTCTCCTGCCTCAGCCTCCAAAGTAGCTGGGATTACAGGCATGTGCCACCACGCCTAGCTAATTTTTGTATGTTTAGTAGAGAGGGAGTTTCTCCATGATGGTCAGGCTGGTCTCCCGACCTCAGGTGATCCGCCCACCTCCGCCTCCTGAAGTGCCGGAATTACAGGCGTGAGCCACCGGCCTAAAAGGCATTTTAATGGGATGAGATGAAAACTCATCGCGATTGTAATTTACATTTCTCTGATGATGAGTGATGCCGAGTACTTTTTCATATACGTGATCGCCATTTCTATGTTTTGTTTGTGGAGAAATGTCTCCTCATGTCTTTTGCTCGTTTTTTAATTAAATTGTTTTATTGAGTTGTTTGAGCTTCTTATATTTCCAGTTATTAATCCCGTCTCAGATGAATAGTTTGCAAATATTTGCTCCTATTTTGTCGGTTGTCTCTTCACTTTCTTGGTTTATCTTTTGTGGTGCAGAAGTTGCTTGGTTTGATGTAATCCTAATGGTCTATTTTTTGCTTTGATTACTTGTGTTTTGAAGGTTTTAAACAAAATGTCTTTCGTCAGACAAATGTCTTCCCCATTATTTTCTTCTACATGTTTCATAGGTTCAGGCCTTAGACTCATGTTTTTAATCCATTTTCATTTGATTTTTGTGTATGGTGACAGGTATAGATGCAGTTTTATTCCTCTGCATATAGATATCCAGTTTTCCCCACACCATTTATTGAAAAGACTGTCCTTTCCTGATTGTAAGTTCTCGGCACCTTTGTCAAAGTCCATTAAATGGGCTGGGTATGGTGGCTCACACCTGCAATTCCAGCACTTTGGGAGGCCGAGGCGGGTGGATCACCTGAAGCCAGGAGTTCAAGATCAGGCTGGCCAACAGAGTGAAACCTCGTCTCTACTAAAAATACAAAAATTAGCTGAGCATGGTGACCAGTGCCTGTAATACCACTACTCGGGTGTTTGAGGCAAGAGAATTGCTTGAATCCAGGAAGTGGAGGTTGCATTGAGCTGAGATTGCACCTCTGCACTCCAGCCTGCATGACAGAGCAAGATTCTAACACACACACACACAAAAAAAGCCATTGGATGTAAATGCATGGATTATATCTGTGTTCTCCATTCTGTTTCATTTTTTATGTGCCTTTCTTTATGCCAATGTCATGCTGTTTTGCTTACTACAGCTCTGTAACATATTTCTAAGTCAGGTAGTGTGATGCTCCTGTTTTCTCTTTATACCTTCAAGTCTCAAGACAGTGGGCATCGCACACAAAAATTATGGAGAAGAGGATCCCAAGACTCCCAGGGTCCAACATTAGATAACAGAGTGTTGGCCATGAACCAACCTCAAAGATTTCCATTGAGTAGAGGACAAGCACCCTCATTTCCTCACATCTCTCCTGTCCCATGTTCTAGGAAACCCTTCAAGTAGTTGGCCTTCACCCACAGAACCAAGCTCCAAATCTGGTGAGTAAAGGACCCCTCTTATCTCTGCTTTTGGAAACCTGGGGAGGTGGAAGCCTTGGATGCAAGTGTTGGCTCAAACCTCCCAGCTCTGTGAATGAGGGCCTGTCTTCCACCATCTCTGAACTCCAGACACTCCAACAGTGAAAGGGATCTAGGGCCACCAAAGGACTCAGCGAAGTCTCTTAACCTTTAATGTCCTGCAGGTGAGACCTCCTACAAGCTAGAAGAATGATTGCCAATCTGACATCCTTCTCAGGAAACATGCAGTGTTTTTTCTTCCTGCATTCCTAACTGGAGGATAAATTCCTGGGGACTTGAGAGAGGGAAGGGAAGGGAACATCTGATGAGGGCGAGGTGTTTTAGAGAAGTTCCACTTGCCAAGGAATGAATTACTGTTGGTCATGAAGCAACCCTGGCTGACTCAGCAGAGCAAGAGCCTTGCCGTAACAGAGAACAGAGCTCATGCACGCACACTTCGACTCACTGACTCATTCAGCCACGGCCCCATGCTCAGGCTGTGCAGTTGGAATCCTTTCCTATTGTTGCCATAACAAATTTCCACAAGATTCGTGGGTGAAAACAAAACGGTTTTTTAATTATCTTACAGTGCTGTAGCTCAAAGTAGGAAGTGCATCTTACTGGGCTAAAATCAAGGTGACAGCAAGGCTGCCTTCCCTCTGAGGATTCCAGGCAAGAATCTGCTTCTCACTTGTCCCAGCTTCTAAAGGCTCCCAGTTCCTTGGCTCCTGGTCCCCTTCCTCCTTCCTCAAAGCCCACAAAGACTGGTCACATCTCACATGGCATCACTCAGACCCTTCTTCCTTACCACACCTCTTTCTCTGAATGCTGCTCTCCCTTCTTCCTTATCTTTTGAAAACTTGGGGATTCTATTGGGTTCACCAAGATGAAAATCCATCATAATCTCCCGGAAATCATTCAGGATACCCTTGTTTTCAGTTCAGCTGACTAGCAACCGTAATTCCATCTGCAATCTTCATTCCTTCTTTCCATGTAAAATAAGATATTCACAAGCTATGGAGGCTAGGACAGGGACATTTTGGGGTGGGACAGCATTCTCCTGCCTTCCACGAACGGTGAACAAGATGCATTTGGCCTCTGCTCTTGGGACACTGATATTGCAGATGGTTAAATGGGAGGACAGAAAATGAATGCACAAGTGGACCAATAAATGAATGATCCATTGGGAAGCATCTGTGCATGAAATCTATTTGTTTGTTCGTTCATTTATTTATTGAGACAGAGTCTCCCTCTGTCTTCCAGGCTACAGTGCAGTGTCACGATCTTGGCTCACTGCAACCTGCGTCTCCTGGATCCAAGTGATTCTCCTGCCTCACCCTCTCGAGTAGCTGGGATTACAGGCAACTGCCACCATGCCCGGCTAATTCTTTTTGTATATTTTTTGTAGAGAGGATGTTTCACCATGTTGGCCAAGCTTGTCTGAAACTCCCAACCTCAAGTGATCCGACCATCTCAGCAACCCAAAGTACTGGGATTACAGGCGTGAGCCACTTTGCCCAGCCAGAATTCAAAATAAATAATAGATAATGCTGAGTGTATAATTTTGGGTGACAGAGAAGGTCTCACTAATCAGATATTTGTGACATTAATGAAAAACACGGATTGAACCCCTGAAAGATTGGCGGAAGGATTTTCCACACACAGCTGTCAGCCGTGAAGGCAGAAAGCTGAAAACAATCTGATGTGGAAGGAAGAGGCTCTGCCTGAAATGCTGGGAATGAGGTGGGGAGAATGACAAGACGACTGTGGAGAGACGGAGAGCACACTGGGTACACAGGAAACTAAGGAGCAACAAGGAGTGTGTGTTTGACACTCACAGCCATTGGATTCACCTCGGGGTAGCCAGGAATCCCTACATGATTAATAGTGACTGACATGAAAATAAGGGAGGCCCAGGTGCGTAACTGGAATCTAGGAGACAGTGGAAAAGGCAATTGCCGCCCCACTGGTGAAATGTGGTGCTGATTTAGACCCTAAGTGGATGAAGCAGATGGATATAAGCTATGTTTGGGAGGTAGAATCATTTGCAGGGAGGGCTTGCTGGGTTTGAGTTTCCTAGTTGTTTAATCCTTGCTAAATTAATTTCTTTCTGAGATTTATTCCTCCTACACATAAATCAATACCTGCCAAAGGAGTGACAGATATATGAGGGGTGGTGGAAATGAAGGGACCTATTATAGCATAGTATACAAGTCTGTGAACGGTGGCTCACTCCTGTAACCCAGCACTGCAGGAGGCTAAGGCCAGTGGATTCCAAGAAGTCAGGAGTTCGAGACCAGCCTGGCCAACATGGAGAAACCCTATCTCTACATGGTGAAACCCTATCTCTCCTAAAAATACAAAAATTAGCCGAGCATGGTGGTGCATCCCTGTAATCCCAGCTCCTGCTCTGGAGGATGAAGCAGGAGAATGACTTCAACCCAGGAGGTGGAGGTTGCAGTGAGTGGAGATCGCATCACTGCACTCCAGCCTGGGTGACACAAGGAGACTCCATCTCAAAAAATAAAAATAAGAAATGCATAAATATAATAAAACACACACGAATGACAAAGGCACCTGAATTCCCATCATCATTTTTCTATTTCTCTATAATTACTTCTTTGATCCTTTATCTTATCCATTAGGCAATCAGCCTAAAACCTCTTCCGTATTTGGCTTTCTGTGAGCATGAGATCATATAGAAAATGTGAAAGCCCGCTGAATCCTCCAGCACAAATCCTGGAATAGAGAAAGTGCTCTGGTCATCACAAAAAAAACTTGCCCCCTCACCCAAATCCCCCATCTCACCCCTACTTCCAATCACCTGTGGAGATACAGATAGATCATGGGGAGGTAAATGCTAATACTCCTTGGAGTGAGTCCAGATCTTGGAATCAGAGATCAGTGCCAGCACTAGCTCCTGCTCCCCTTTCCTACTAATTCACAGGAGGACAGGTGGTATTGAAGCAATAGATAGTCGAGGGGGTGGTCCTTCCCCCAGCCTCTGAGGTAGAACAGCAGCCTAACATGTGTCTCCCGAGATCACAAAGAGTAGCACATTTCACACGGGCTTCAACACTATTTTCTGGCTGTTTGACATAAGAGAATTCTACTTCGCTTTTTTTATATTGATTTCACTTTTGTTTCCTTTTCTTGGAGAATGCAAGTTGTTTAACTCAAGAATGCCGTGGATGTAGAAATCCTAAAGCACATTCGCTGTGTATCAATCCCAGTCCAGTCTTCCCAGAGAAGACTCTAAACACCTCCTGGACTGCACCTGGGCCTATGCCAATTCCTATCACTCACCGTCACTCCAGGGAGACAGAACACACAGAGAATACGTTACATAGGCAGGTTCATTACTAACAGATAAGCAGCGAGTGACAACAGAAGCCTACATTTCAATGTGAGCCAGTTCCCCAAGGCTCAGAAAAGCTGCTCGAGACATGTGGAGTCACCCCATTTGCAGTGTAGCTGGGGGAAGCCAGAAAGCAGCCCAGCCTGGGTTTTGTACCCTGGAGCCACAGGAAGCACTCAGCTAAAGCACTGCATGACGTCCTCCTCCAGGAAGAACAGGAAGACAGCCCAGGCTGTTCTGGGACGATCCTCCTGATCTCAGGACTTTGCTGTCTTAGTCCATTTTTGTTGCTCTAAAGGAACACTTGAGCCTGGGTAACTTCTAAAGAAGAGATTGGTTTGCCTCACCATTCTGCAGGCTGTACTGGAAGCATGGCACCAGCATCTATTTCTTATGATGGCCTCAGGCCGCTCCCACTCTGGCAGAAGGGAAGGAGGGTCTGTCTGTGCAGAGACCACAGAGATCACACGGCAAGAGAGGGAGCAAGGGGGAGGGGGAGCAATGGAGCTTCCAAGCTCTTTTTAACAACCAGCTCTCCAGGAACTAATAGAGAGGGAACTTGCTAACCCCGTCTCCTTGGGACAGCATTGATCTGTTCATGATGGATCCACCTCCATGACCCAAACACCTCCCAAGAGGCCCAACCTCCCACACTGGGGGTTAAATTTCAATGTGAGGTTTGAAGGGGTCAAACATCTCAACTAAAGTAGTTGTATCCTCAGCACGTTCCATGGTTACTATGAGAGCTATAACTGAGAAAGCAGGAGGAAGCTAGGTCTCCCGCCATCTGGGTGCTTGTCCGAAAGAGATGCTGTAAGTGGTTACCTGTCAATCAAGAAATGCAAGACAATTCATATAGAGAAACTGCTATGATTAGCTTCTTACTGGTGTCTCCTCTTCTTCCAGGTAACCCCAGACACCTGCACATTCTGATTGGGACCTCAGTGGTCATCATCCTCTTCATCCTCCTCCTCTTCTTTCTCCTTCATCTCTGGTGCTCCAACAAAAAAAGTAAGTCTCACGGGGCACAGGCCAGAGAGCTCAGGGCCATGTGGGGAAGCAGGATGGGAGCACACAGCTGTGTGTTCCTCACTGGCAGGATGGTCCCTGGCCCAAGACAGGAGCCACAGAGGCAGGACTTTCTAGAGAGAGCACCAGACTCCCTGCCCCTGCCTTCAGCTCACAGACCGTTGCCTGATTCTGAACTGTATCCTCATGTCCCCTGCAGCCACTCACATCCAGGAGAAGGTTCCATGAGAGGCAGAAAGTGGGAGACAGAATCAATGGGATGGGAACTCAGAGCTATTCATGGGATGGGTCCTTGAGCTCAGAGAGATAGAATGTCTGAGTCTGCTGTTGGCAACTGAGGGACCTCAGGCACCTATGGCCTCCCCCTGTTTGTTGGTATCTGCTTATGAAATGAGGACCCAGAAGTGCCCTCCGAGCTCTTTTGTTGACTTCCGTCTCCTACAGATGCTGCTGTAATGGACCAAGAGCCTGCAGGGAACAGAACAGCCAACAGCGAGGTAGGTGCTCCTCGGCCCAGCCTCGTGGCTAGTGTTATTCCCAAACAGTCCTGGAAAACGTGAGCACCCTCCCTCACTCAGCATTTCCCTCCCTCACTCAGCATTTCCCTCTCTCCAGGACTCTGATGAACAAGACCCTGAGGAGGTGACATACGCACAGTTGGATCACTGCGTTTTCACACAGAGAAAAATCACTCGCCCTTCTCAGAGGCCCAAGACACCCCCTACAGATACCATCTTGTACACGGAACTTCCAAATGCTAAGCCCAGATCCAAAGTTGTCTCCTGCCCATGAGCACCACAGTCAGGCCTTGAGGACGTCTTCTAGGGAGACAACAGCCCTGTCTCAAAACCGAGTTGCCAGCTCCCATGTACCAGCAGCTGGAATCTGAAGGCGTGAGTCTTCATCTTAGGGCATCGCTCCTCCTCACGCCACAAATCTGGTGCCTCTCTCTTGCTTACAAATGTCTAGGTCCCCACTGCCTGCTGGAAAGAAAACACACTCCTTTGCTTAGCCCACAGTTCTCCATTTCACTTGACCCCTGCCCACCTCTCCAACCTAACTGGCTTACTTCCTAGTCTACTTGAGGCTGCAATCACACTGAGGAACTCACAATTCCAAACATACAAGAGGCTCCCTCTTGACGTGGCACTTACCCACGTGCTGTTCCACCTTCCCTCATGCTGTTTCACCTTTCTTCGGACTATTTTCCAGCCTTCTGTCAGCAGTGAAACTTATAAAATTTTTTGTGATTTCAATGTAGCTGTCTCCTCTTCAAATAAACATGTCTGCCCTCATTGCTTCAGGTAATGTGACACTGTATTCGCTGAAAGAAACCGCTGTTATCATTACCATGTCCACATAACCCCATCTGTTCTCCGCTGGGTTCTCACCCCTGGATTCTGAGCTTCTGGAAGCAGGGTGGAGCCTCATTTGTCTCTGGGACTCCAATTTCCATCCAAAGATGCAGCACATAGGAGGTTCCAAGGATCGTGAATCACATGAACAAGTGATATTCTTACTCTCTGCAACCTGGAAAGCTGGCAGAGTCATTCCACGATGAAACATTTGTAGAGTCATAAGCCTTGCTAGTCTCATCTCCACGGGGACACATATCAACACATCATATTTCATACTATAAATATACAGTCGCTCCTCCATATCTGTGGGGTTTACAGGTGTTTATTGAACCAAGTGTAAATCAAAAATATTCAGAGAAAATGTCCACAAAGTTTCAAAATGCAAAACTATGTTGAATGGACACAAATGAGGCAGTGTGTAGGCTGTATCAGGAATTATAAGTAATCAAGAGATGATTTCATGTATACAGGAGGATGTGCATGGGTTATATCCAAATGCTGTGTCATTTTATGTAAGAGGCTTGAGCATCTGCAGATTTTGGTACCTGAGTGGAGATCCTGAAACCAATCACCCACGAATAGTAAAGGATGACCGTATATGACTTTTATTTCTCAATTTTAAATATAAATCATAAAAAATGTACAATAACTAGATAAAAAGTAAGAAGTGTTTTTATAGTGTGAGAATAAGTTTAGATTTATTTTTTCCTACGTGTAACCCTTTGGTTTAATATTATTTATTAAGAAGACATTCTATGCCACCTTAAACCACACGGCAGCCTTTGTCAACTCTAAAGGGACTGTGTGTACACGGATGTATTTTAGACACTGTTTCTGCTAAGGGGCTCTCTGTGTCCACACTCTTGAGGATGCTGCACTTCATGTAGCCTTATAAAACCCTTTAAATTTAGTAGCCAGAGCCCTCTAATTTGTTATTATAGGCTACTTGCTATTTTTTTTTCTTGAGGCGGAGTCTTGCTCTGTCGCCCAGGCGGGACTGTAGTGGAGCAATCTCAGCTCACTGCAACTTCCGCCTCCCAGGTTCAGGCGATTCTCGTGCCTCAGCCTCTTGAGTAGCTGGCGTTACAGGTGCCTGCCACCAGGCACGGCTAATTTTTGGATTTTTAGCAGAGACACGGTTTCACTATGTTGGCCAGGCTGCTCTCAATCTCCTCATCTCAGTTGATCCGCCCACCTCGGCTTCCCGACCTGCTGGGGGAAACTTGATTTTCTATAGCATTATGTTACTGGATATTTCTGTAAAATTTAAAATGAGGGAGGCAGAGAGACAGAGAGAGAGCAAACTCCAAAGTTGGGACTCTGGAATCTTGAGTCATGAGACAAATTATAGATAAAACTACAAAAATCCAGAATTTACATGTGTGGTTTTTGCTGATAAAGTACAATTCTAAGATTGTAAATAATTGCATAATCCTTCCCTGGGAATTTAAATCATTTGAACTGGTTCTGCTGTAATACTAGAAATACAAGCATGAACAATTCTAATGGTTTATTAGTCACAATGACTCTGAAAACACTAATAATACCTATTAGATATTTTGCATATTACACAGGAAGAAGAGTTCGAATCTCAGATAAAAACAATAAAAATTCATGAAAAGTCTTTCATGTTAGCACAGATTTTAGGCATCTCATGTTTGGGAGGTTGGATCTAAGACATGTTTTGAGTTGGTCATAGTGAAGGACGCGAGGTGTCAATTCTAGTGAGAGCAATTTCCAGGAAGCCATGTTCCGCTCTTGAGCGAGCACCCACTGGGCCTCATGCAAGGTAGAAAAAGCCTGCGTACGTCACCCTCCCATGATGTGGTCAACATGTAAACTGCATGGGCAGGGCGCCAAATAACATCCTGTGTGCTGCTGAGCTGAGCTGGGGCGCGGCCGCCTGTCTGCACCGGCAGCACCATGTCGCTCATGGTCATCATCATGGCGTGTGTTGGTGAGTCCTGGAAGGGAATAGAGGGAGGGAGCGTGGGGATGGAGATCTGGGCCCAGAGGTGGAGATATGGGCCTGGAGGTGGAGTTATGGGCCTGGAGTGGAGATCTGGGCCTAGAGATGGAGTGATGAGCCTAGAAGTGGAGATCTGCGCCTGGAGTGGAGATCTGGGCCTGGAGTGAAGATCTGGGCCTGGAGTGGAGATATGGGCCTGGAGTGGGGATAGGAACCTGGAGTGGAGAGAGGAACCTGGAGGAGAGATAGGAACCTGGAGGGGAGGTAGGAGCCTAGGGTGGAGATATGTGGCTGGAGTGGAGATATGGGACTGGAGTGGAGATATGGGCCTGGAGTGGAGTTATGGGCCTGGAGTGAAGTTATGGGCCTGGAGGTGGAGATACGGGCCTGGAGTGGAGATATGAGCCTGGAGTGGAGATATGGTCCTGGAGTGGAGATATGGGCCTGGAGTGGAGATATGGGTCTGCAGTGGAGTTATGGGCCTGGAGTGAAGTTATGGGCCTGGAGGTGGAGATATGGGACTGGAGTGGAGATATGGGACTAGAGTGGAGATAGGGGCCTGGAGGTGGAGATCTGGGCCTGGAGTGGAGATCTGGGCCTGGAGTGGAGATCTGGGCCTGGAGTGGAGATATGGGCCTGGAGTGGAGATATGGGTCTGCAGTGGAGATATGGGCCTGGAGGTGGAGATATGGGCCTGGAGTGGAGTTATGGGCCTGGAGTGAAGTTATGGGCCTGGAGGTGGAGATATGGGCCTGGAGTGGAGATATGGGACTAGAGTGGAGATAGGGGCCTGGAGGTGGAGATCTGGGCCTGGAGTGGAGATATGGCCCTGGAGTGGAGATATGGGCCTGGAGTGGAGATATGAGCCTGGAGTGGAGATATGGCCCTGGAGTGGAGATATGGGCCTGGAGGTGGAGATATGGGCCTGGAGTGGAGTTATGGGCCTGGAGTGAAGTTATGGGCCTGGAGGTGGAGATATGGGCCTGGAGTGGAGATATGGGACTAGAGTGGAGATACGGGCCTGGAGGTGGAGATCTGGGCCTGGAGTGGAGATATGGCCCTGGAGTGGAGATATGGGCCTGGAGTGGAGATATGAGCCTGGAGTGGAGATATGGCCCTGGAGTGGAGATATGGGCCTGGAGTGGAGATATGAGCCTGGAGTGGAGATATGGCCCTGGAGTGGAGATATGGGCCTGGAGTGGAGATATGGGCCTGGAGTGGACATATGGGTCTGGAGTGGAGATACGGGCCTGGAGGTGGAGATATGGGCCTGGAGTGGAGATATGGGCCTGGAGGTGGTGATATGGGCCTGGAGTGTAGACATGGGCCGAGTGGAGATATGGGTCTGGAGTGGAGATATGGGCCTGGAGTGGAGATATGGGACTGGAGTGGAGATATAGGCATGGGGTGGAGACATGGGCCGGGAGTGGAGATATGGGACTGGAGTGGAGATACGGGCGTGGGGTGGAGATATGTGCCTGGAGGTGGAGATATGGGCGTGGGTTGGAGATATGGGCCTGGAGTGGAGATATGGGCGTGGGGTGGAGATATGGGTCTGGAGTGGAGACATGGGCATGGGGTGGAGATATGGGCCTGGTGTGTAGATATGGGCCTGGAGTGGAGATATGGCCCTGGAGTGGAGATATGGGCCTGGAGTGGAGATCTGGGCCTACGGTGGAGATATGGGCCTAGGATGGGGATATGGGCCTGGAATGGAGATATGGGCCTGGGTGTGGAGATATGGGACTGGAGTGGAGATATGGGCCTGATGTGGAGATATGGGCTTGGAGTGGAGATATGATCCTGGAGTGTAGTTATGGGCCTGGAGGTGGAGATCTGGGCCTGGGGTGGAGATATGGGCCTGGAGTGGAGATATGGGACTGGAGAGGAGATATGGGACTGGAGTGGAGATATGGGCCTGGAGTGGAGATATGGGCCTGGATTGGAGATATGGGCCGAGGGTGGAGATCTGAGCCTGGATTGGAGATGTGGGCCCGGATTGGCTATATGGGTCTAGGGTGGAAATATCGGCCTGGAGTGGAGATATGGGCCTGGAGTGGAGATATGGGCTTGGGGTGGGGATATGGGCCTGGAGGCTGGGTCTCTGTACAGCCGAGAGCACTGTTCTTGGGTGCAGGTAGGCACTGATGGTGAGTTTACCTTCGGCCCAGGAAGGGGCTGGCTATCAAGACTCACAGCCCAGTGGGGGCAGCAAGGAAGGCCTTGTTTGCCTGCAAATGGATCTTCCATCATGATCTTTCTTTCCAGGGTTCTTCTTGCTGCAGGGGGCCTGGCCACAGGAGGGTAAGTCCTTCTCCAAACCTTAGGGTGTCATCTCCCCACATAAGAGGATTTTCCTGAAACGGGAGGGAAGTCCTGTCAGGGAGTCTCTCATAAACTAGGAAGAGGGGACCCTGGGGTGCTCGGCCCACAGTTCCGACCTTGCCTCCCTGGCCTCTCAACCCCTTGGCAGAGTCAAGTTGTGTGGGGACCAGGGTTGGACTAGGGTGTTCAAAGCTGGGTTGTGTGGTGGGGAAGTGGTAGGAACAGCAGATCCTCTGAGGACAAAGGTGTTACTCACACACTTCAGCGTTTCCATGACGGTAGGGGCTGCAGTGTGGCTGCTGTCATTCTACCAGAAGAGGTGGGAAACCACAGCCATGGCCCTGACATTCCAAATCCTCTGATGGGGGCTAAGTTTTTTATTTTCATTCAGGCAACTGCTGATATTCCATTCTCAAAGGACATGCCCTCCACTTCATGTCTACCCTGTGTTGTTTTATGTCAGTAATCTTACAGTATTAAAATCTAGTAGGAGTCTCTTACTCAGCACTTGCTCAAAGTTCTCAGCTGACACTTTTGTTGTACGGAGACACCTTGTCTTTGTGGGATGGGTCCTTCCTTTAGCCCTAGGCACCAAGGTGTGATAGCAGCCATAGAAATGTGGAAAGTGGGGAGAATCTTCTGAGCACAGGGAGGGAGGCACAGCTCCACATCCTCCTCTCTAAGGCGGCGCCTCCTTCACCCCAAGGTGGTCAGGACAAGCCCTTGCTTTCTACCTGGCCCAGCCTTGTGGTGCCTCCAGAACATGTGACTCTTCAGTGTCACTCTAATCTTGGGTTTAACAACTTCAGTCTGTACAAGGATGATGGGGTGCCTGTCCCTGAGCTGTACAACAGAATATTCTGGAAAAGCCTTTTCATGGGCCCTGTGACCCCGTCACATGCAGGGACCTATAGATGCCGGGGTTCACACACACACTCCCCCAGTGGGTGGTCGGCACCCAGCAACCCCCTGGTGATCATGGTCACAGGTCAGAGGGCTCCTGTCTGGGATTCTCCTTGTCCCACCTCCTGAATCCCAGAGCTTCTGGTAGGCATGTCCTTGAGGGTCCCATCACGCAGGCCCTAACTGTATTTGGGGTAAAGGGGGATTGAATACAGGGAAATGGGTGCTGTGGTGGGAAGAATAAGTGTCCCCAGTGATGACTGCATTCTAATCCCTGGAGTCTGTGACTATTTATGTTATAGGGGAAGGGACTGAAGGGGAAGATGGAGCTCAGGTTGTTGATGAGTTGACCTTGAGATGGGGAGACAGCCTGGACTGTCCCGGTGGGCTCAATATAATCACAAGTGTCCACATGAAAGGAGGAGGAAGAGGAGAGTGGGGATTAGAGCAGCGTAGTGGGAGACTCCATTAGCTTTGAAGGTGGATGAAGGCCATAAGCCATGAATGCAGGTGGCCTATAGAGGCTGGGAAAGTCAAGTAACTGATTCTCCTGAGTCTCCAGAGGGAACACAGCCCTGCAGATGCCTTGATTTTAGCCCTCGAAAAACAGGGTCCGCTTTCTGTCTCCAGAATCGGAGGGGGTCAGTGTGCTCTCTCCTGCTGCCATGCTTCTGATAATTTTCTACAGCAGCAACAGGAAACCAACACTGGAACCCAGGTCAAGGACAAGTTAAGAAAAGACACAAGGATAGCCAGGCATGGTGGCAGGTGCATGTAATCCTAGCGACTCGGGAGGCTGAGAGCAGGAGAATCGCTTGAACCCAGGAGACAGAGGTTGCAGTGAGCGTAGACCACACCACTTCACTCCAGCCTGGGTGAAGGAGTGAGACTCTGTCTCCAAAATTAATTAATTAATTAAAGAAACCAAACAAAGAGAAGGTTGGCTACACCGAGATCAGCAAGGGTGGGATGATGATGCCACCACCAGGCTCCATCCACATAGGGAGGGGTTGATACTCCTCAAATCAGCACGAGGAGCCAGCCTATGGAAACTGGCACCATGGAGAAGGCACAGACATGGCAAGAGTGGCTCCCAGTCCCCACCAGGAACAGGGTGTGTGGACACTGGTGCCTGCCTTACTGATCAGTTCATACCTCCTGCCAAGGATTCCAATTCGTCCAAAAGAGATTGAACCAGGCTGCTAAGAGCCGGGACGTGCAGCCTATCCTGCTTCCTCTTCCACTCCCACATAGACAGTAAGAAAGACATTAGTGTGAAATAGATACAACAGCCCAAGAGATGAGGCTGAGCCCAGTGGGAAGGGAATCACAGCTACTAGAGACAGAGGGACAGAGAAGAGGGAGGGAGACAGATGGAAGGACCTGCACCAGGAGTTATGGGCACAGAAAAGAACATGAAGACACAGAGAGGAAGCAGAGAGACAGACACCAGCGAAGGGAAGTCTCACTCATTCCAGGTGCCATGGATGGGATGATAAAGAGAGACACCTTCTAAACTCACAACCTCTCTTCCTAGGAGTCCACAGAAAACCTTCCTTCCTGGCCCTCCCAGGTCACCTGGTGAAATCAGAAGAGACAGTCATCCTGCAATGTTGGTCGGATGTCATGTTTGAGCACTTCCTTCTGCACAGAGAGGGGAAGTTTAACAACACTTTGCACCTCATTGGAGAGCACCATGATGGGGTTTCCAAGGCCAACTTCTCCATTGGTCCCATGATGCCTGTCCTTGCAGGAACCTACAGATGCTACGGTTCTGTTCCTCACTCCCCCTATCAGTTGTCAGCTCCCAGTGACCCTCTGGACATGGTGATCATAGGTGAGAGTGTCCAGACATTCTTCTCATTGTCATTGGGATGCAGAGTGAATGATCCAGGACTTGGAGACCCAGGTGGTTGTAAGGAAGATGAGCTTGGTATTCTTATGGAGAGAGACTGACTTGGTGAGGTCTGTGCCAACAGAGACAGAGAAACAAGAGACACAAGTACAGACCAGGTGTCATAACAGAGGACAAACACAGGGGCCATACCGGGAGTTAGAAAAGACAGAAAGAGTTAAAGGAGACAGACAGACATGTCCCAGACAGAGGTGTCCTTCCATGCTGACTTTGCTCAGAGACCTGGCACAGGTTAGAAGTTTCATTTCTGTTTTACCTCCACAAAGTGTTCTCTACCAGGAGAACCCAAGGACACCCATATTTCTGACCTGAGTTGGGCCCTGTGGCCTCAGGCCTTGTGGCACCTACAGATGCCATGCTTATTCTGACACCTCTGACTTCCATGCAATGGAGAATAATCGTCCCAAAATATCATGGCCCCAGAACACCAACCCCTGTATGCTGTGTGAACTTGTGGTCTCCAGACTGGATTCTGAGGCTCACATTCCAAATAACCCCACATATCACATATGAGAGGATCACTGAGAAGCACAGAGAGAAATCAGGGACACCAAAAAGCAAAGACATAAACACACAGAGAAAGAGCCAGAGGAAGGAGATTGAGAGACTCACAGACACATAAAGAGAGAGAAGAGGGCAGAGAAGTGGAGAGAATGATGGAAGAGAGCAGAGAAAACCACTAAAATTAGAGTCCTGAGGGCGAGGCACAAGGGCATAGAAAGATGGAGATGTGGGGATGAATTGCAGAGATTCCAAAGAGAACTAGAGAGACCGAGAGGCAGAGCAAGACAGATGATAGATGGATAGATACAGATAGATGATGGATAGATATAGATAGATGATATATAGGTAGATGATAGATAATAGGTTATAGATACATAGATGATGATTGATTGATTCATTAATAGATGATACATAGAGATGATGATGATGAAGATAGATGGATAGATAATACATAGAGATAGAGAGGAAGACAAAGAGAGAAATAATAGAGAGAGAGAGATGATACATATATATAGATAATAGATGATTGACGGATAGACAATTGATAGATAAATAGATGATATATAGATATAGATGACAGGTAGAGAATTTGTAGATAGGCACCGAATAGATAAATAGATGGATTGATAGATAATAGATAGAAATATGCAGAAAGTTATGAACGGGACACAAACTGAGAAACTCAGAGTTAAAAAAAGTAACATCAAGTCAACCAATCCAAGGAGAGCCAGAGAGAATAAAACAATCCAAAAAAGGAAAACATAACTAGAGGTAGGGAAGTGAGGTCAGAGACCTACAGAGACAGAGAAGGTGGAAGGAGGAAATAGACATGAAGAGAGATAGGGTGGAGGGTGAGACAGAGAAAGAGAGCATTAGGCCATAGAGCAGGGGAGTGAGTTCTCAGGTCAGGTGTGAGGGGAGCTGTGACAAGGAAGATCCCCCCTGAGGAAACTGCCCCTTCTCCTTCCAGGTCTATATGAGAAACCTTCTCTCTCAGCCCAGCCGGGCCCCACGGTTCAGGCAGGAGAGAATGTGACCTTGTCCTGCAGCTCCCGGAGCTCCTATGACATGTACCATCTATCCAGGGAAGGGGAGGCCCATGAACGTAGGCTCCCTGCAGTGCGCAGCATCAACGGAACATTCCAGGCCGACTTTCCTCTGGGCCCTGCCACCCACGGAGGGACCTACAGATGCTTCGGCTCTTTCCGTGACGCTCCCTACGAGTGGTCAAACTCGAGTGATCCACTGCTTGTTTCCGTCACAGGTGAGGAAACCCCATATCTGTCCCATGTCCTATGATCCTAGAGCCTTAGCTGAGGAGCTTCCTGCTGATGATGGAGAGAAGCATGGACAGATGCAGAGAGAAGACGCAGCATGCCTGTGAGGGAGGGATCAGGGCGCAGGATGGCACACACAGCACCTCCAAACCCTCCTGCATGGCCTGCATGGAGGCCTCCGATTAGGGCTCCAGAAACCCAGGCAGATGTAGAAAGCGGTCAGGAGAGACCCAGAGAAGGGGAGACTGGGCTCAGTTTGGGGAGATCAGAGGTTCCCTCAGCCCCTCAACCTTACCCATTTCCCAGAAGCCCTTCCTGGCCTCTCACCCACACAGAGATGTCATCACCAGCAACCCCTACATCCTTTTCTTTTTGTTTGAAAAAATATTCATTGAGGTTAAATATACCTATATAGCTTACCACTTTTAACATTTTTTTTTTTTTGAGGTGGAGTCTAGCTCTGTCTCCTATGCTGGAATGCAGTGGCACAATCTCAGCTCACTGTAACCTCCGCCTCCTGGGTTCAAGCGATTCTCCTGCCTCAGCCACCTGAGTAGCTGGTACTACAGGCGCCCATCACCACGCCGGGCTACTTTTTGTATATTTAGTAGAGAGGGGGTTTCACCATGTTGGTCGAGCTGCTCTGGAACTCCTGACCACGTGATCCACCCGCCTCAGGCTCCCAAAGTGCTGGGATTACAGGCATGAGCCACCGCGCCCGGCCACGTTTACCAATTTTAAGTGTAAGGTCTAGTGGTCATAAATACATACATATAAATTTTTTGTTTGTTTGTTTTATCCTCCACCCTTTTCTTCCTGGCCTCTGGTAGCCACCATTCTACTCTCTATCTTCATGAGATCCACCTTTTAGCTCCTGTATATGGGTGAGAAATGAGAATATTTGTAATGACTTCCAGTTCCATCCATGTGGCTGCAAATATCAGGATGTTATTCTTTCTATGGATGAGTAGTCTCCGCTGTGCGTATGTACTACATTCTCTCTATCCATTCATCCACTGATGGGCAGGTAGGTTGACTCCACATCTTGGCTACTGTGAAGAGTGCTGCACCAATCATACGAGTGCAGATATCACTTCGATACATTGATTTACTTTCCTTTGGATATAAACCCAGTAGTGAAATTGCTGGATACTATGAAAGTTCTCTTTTTAGTTTTTCGTTTGTTGTTTTGTTTTTGTTTTTGAGACAGTTTCCCTCTGTGCCCAGGCTGGAGTACAAGTGATGTGATCTTGGCTCATTGCAACCTCCGCCTCCTGGGTTCAAATGATTTTCCTGCCTCAGCCTCCCTAGTAGCTGGGATTACAGGTGCACGCCACCATGCCGGGATACTTTTTGGTTTTTTTTAGTGTACATGGGGTTTCCCCAGGTTGGCTAGGCTGCTCTCAAACTCATGACCTCAACTGAGGTGCCCGCCTCGGTCTCCCAAAGTGCCGGGATTACAGGCATGATCCACTTCATCCAACCTCTTTTTAGTTCTTTAAAGGACTTCCATACTTTTCTCCGTAATGGCTGTACTAATTTACACTCCTACCAACAGGGTACCAGGGTTCTCCTTTCTCTACCACCTTGCCAGCATTTGTTTTGCCTGTCTTGCAGCTAAAAGCCATTTTATTTTATTTCATTTTATTTTGAGATGGAGTTTCGCTCTTGTCACCCAGGCTGGAGTGCAGTGGTGCGATCTCGGCTCACCGCAACCTCCACCTCCCAGGTTCAAGCGATTCTCCTGCCTCAGCCTCCCGAGTAGCTGGAATTACAGGCACACACCACCACGCCCGACTAATTTTTGTATTTTTAGTAGAGACAGCGTTTCTCCATGTGGGTCAGACTGGTCTCAAACTCCCGACCTTATGAGATTCGCCCACCTCGGGCTCTCAGAGTTCTAGGATGACAGACGTGAGCCACCTCGCCCGGCCTAAAAGCCATTTTAATGGGGTGAGATGAAAACTCACTTTGATTTTAATTCGCGTTTCTCTGATGATGAGTGATACTGAGCACTTTTTCGTATGTGGGGAAATTTCATGTCTTTTGCTCCTTTTTCAATTAAATCATTTGTTTTATTGAGTTGTTTGAGCTTCTTATACTTCTAGTTATTAATCCCGTCTCAGATGCATAGTTTGCACATATTTGCTCCCAATCTGTGGGTTGTCTCTTCACTTTGTTGGTTTATTTTTAGCGGTGCAGAAGTTGCTTAGTTTGAGGTAATCCCAATGGTCTATTTTTGCTTCGATTACTTGTGTTTTGAAGGTTTAAAACAAAATGTCTTCCTTCAGACAAATGTACTGGAGCATTTCCCCAATATTTTCTTCTACGTGTTTCACAGGTTCAGGCCTTAGACTCACATCTTTAATCCACTTTCATTTGATTTTTGTGTATGGTGACAGGTAGAGGTGCAGTTTCATTCCTCTGCATGTAGATGTCCAGGTTTCCCTGCACTGTTTATTGAAAAAACTGTCCTTTCCTGATTGTGAGTTCTTGGCACCTTTGTCAAAGTCCATTGGATGGGCTGGGCATGGTGGCTAACACCAGCAACTTCAGCACTTTGGGAGGCCAAGGCTGGTGGATCACCTGAGGACAGGAGTACAAGATTACTCTGGCCGACGTGATGAAACATCGTCTCCACTAAAAATATAAAAATTAGCTGAGCATGGTGGTCAGCACCTGTAATACTACTACTCAGGAGTTTGAGGCAAGAGAATTGATTGAACCCAGGAGGCTGAGGTTGCAGTGAACCGAGATTGCACCTCTGCACTCCAGCCTGGGTGACAGAGCAAGACTCCATCTCAAAAGAAAAAATAAAAAAAATTGGATGTAAATGCATGGATTATATCTGTGTTCTTCATTCTGCTCCGTTGTTCTATGTGCCTTTCTTCATGCCAACATCATGCTGTTTTGCTTACTACAGCTCTGTAACATATTTTGAGATCAGGTAGTGTGATGCTCCTGTTTTCTCTTTATACCTTGAAGTCTCAAGACAGTGGGCGTCACATACAAAAATTATGGAAGAAAGGATCCCTGGACTCCCAGGGCCCAATGTTAGATAACAGAGTGTTGGCCATGAACCAAACTCAAAGATTTCCACTGAGTAGAGGACAGACACCCTCATTTCCTCACCTCTCTCCTGTCTCATGTTCTAGGAAACCCTTCAAATAGTTGGCCTTCACCCACTGAACCAAGCTCCAAAACCGGTGAGTACAGGACCCTCTTATATCCGCTTTTGGAACCCTGGGGAGGTGGAAACCTTGGATTCAGGCGTTGACTCAGCATCTCACAGCTCTGACATTGTACGCCTGTCTTCTACCATCTCCGAACTCCAGATACTCCAACAGCGAAAGGGATCTGGGCCCAACACAGGGCTCAGTGAAATCTCTTCATCTCTCATTTTATGGAGCTGAGACCTCCTACAAGCTAGAAGAATGATTGCCAATCTGACATCCTTCTCAGGAAAAACGCAATGTTTGTTCTGCTTGCATTCCTAACTGGAGGATAAATTCCTGGGGGCTTGAGAGAGGGAAGGGAAGCGAACATCTGATGAGGGCGAGGTGTTTTAGAGAAGTTCCACTTGCCAAGGAATGAGCTCCTGTTGGTCATGAAACAACCCTGGCTGACTCAGCAGAGCAAGAGCCTTGCCGTAACAGAGAACAGAGCTCATGCACGCACACTTTGACTCACTGACTTATTCAGCCACGGCCCCATGCTCAGGTTGTGCAGTGTGGAAGCTTTTCCTATTGTTGCCATAACAAATTTCCACAAGATTCGTGGGTGAAAACAAAACGGTTATTTAATTATCTTACAGTGCTCTAGCTCAAAGCATGAAGTGCATCTCACTGGGCTAAAATCAAGATGACAGCAAGCCTGCCTTCCCTCTGAGGATTCCAGGCAAGAATCTGCTTCTCACTTGTCCCATCTTATAAAGGCTCCCAGTTCCTTGGCTGCTGGTCCCTTTCCTCCTTCCTCAAAACCCACAAAGACTGGTCACATCTCACATGGCATCACTCAGACCCTTCTTCCTTACCACACCTCTTTCTCTGAATGCTGCTCTCCCTTCTTCCTCATCTTTTGAAAACTTGGGGATTCTATTGGGTTCACCAAGATGAAAATCCGTCATAATCTCCCGGAAATCATTCAGGATACCCTTGTTTTAAGTTCAGCTGATTAGCAACCATAATTCCATCTGCAATCTTCATTCCTCCTTTCCATGTAAAATAACATATTCACAAGCTATGGAGGCTAGGACAGGGACATTTTGGGGTGGGACAGCATTCTCCTGCCTTCCACAAATGGTGAACAAGATGCATTTGGCCTCTGCTCTTGGGACACTGATATTGCAGATGGTTAAATGGGAGGACAGAAAATGAATGCACAAGTGGACCAATAAATGAATGATCCATTGGGAAGCATCTGTGCATGAAATCTATTTGTTTGTTTGTTCGTTTGTTTATTGAGACAGAGTCTCCCTCTGTCTTCCAGGCTACAGTGCAGTGTCACGATCTTGGCTCACTGCAACCTGCGTCTCCTGGATCCAAGTGATTCTCCTGCCTCACCCTCTCGAGTAGCTGGGATTACAGGCAACTGCCACCATGCCCGGCTAATTCTTTTTGTATATTTTTTGTAGAGAGGATGTTTCACCATGTTGGCCAAGCTTGTCTGAAACTCCCAACCTCAAGTGATCCGACCATCTCAGCAACCCAAAGTACTGGGATTACAGGCGTGAGCCACTTTGCCCAGCCAGAATTCAAAATAAATAATAGATAATGCTGAGTGTATAATTTTGGGTGACAGAGAAGGTCTCACTAATCAGATATTTGTGACATTAATGAAAAACACGGATTGAACCCCTGAAAGATTGGCGGAAGGATTTTCCACACACAGCTGTCAGCTGTGAAGGCACAAAGGTGAAAACAATCTGATGTTGAAGGAAGAGGCTCTGCCTGAAATGCTGGGAATGAGGTGGGGAGAATGACAAGATGACTGTAGAGAGATGGAGAGCACTCTGGGTACACAGGAAACTAAGGAGGAACAAGGAGTGTGTGTTTGACACTCACAGCCATTGGATTCACCTCGGGGTAACCAGGAATCCCTACATGATTAATAGTGACTGACAAGAAAATAAGGGAGGCCCAGGTGCGTAACTGGAATCTAGGAGACTGTGGAAAAGGCAATTGCCGCCCCACTGGTGAAATGTGGTGCTGATTTAGACACTAAATGAATGAAGTAGATGGATATAAGATATGCTTGTGAGGTAGAATCATTGGCTGGAAAGGCTTGCTGGGTTTGATTTTCCTACTTGTTTAATCCTCGCTTAATTAATTTCTTTCTGAGATTTATTCATCCTACACATAAATCAATACCTGGCAAAGGAGTGACAGATATATGAGGGGTGGTGGAAATGAAGGGACCTATTATAGCATAATATACAAGTCTGTGAACGGTGGCTCATGCTTGTAACCCAGCCCTGCAGGAGGCCAAGGCGGGTGGATTCCATGAAGTCAGGAGTTCCAGACCAGCCTGGCCAACATGGTGAAACCCTATCTGTACTAAAAATACAAAAATTAGCCGAGCATGGTGGTGCATCCCTGTAATCCCAGCTCCTACTCTGGAGGATGAAGCAGGAGAATGACTTCAACCCAGGAGGTGGAGGTTGCAGTGAGTGGAGATTGCATCACTGCACTCCAGCCTGGGTGACACAAGGAGACTCCGTCTCAAAAAATAAAAATAAGAAATGCATAAATATAATAAAACACACACGAATGACAAAGGCACCTGAATTCCAATCATCATTTTTCTATTTCTCTATAATTACTTCTTTGATCCTTTATCTTATCCATTAGGCAATCAGCCTAAAACCTCTTCCCTATTTGGCTTTCTGTGAGCATGAGATCACATAGAAAATGTGAAAGCCCGCTGAATCCTCCAGCACGGATCCTGGAATAGAGAAAGTGCTCTGGTCATCGCAAAAAAAAACTTGCCCACTCACCCAAATCGCCCACCTCACCCCTACTTCCAATCACCTGTGGAGATTCAGATAGACCATGGGGAGGAAACATTAATATTCCTTGGAGTGAGTCCAGATCTTGGAATCAGAGATCAGCGACAGCACTAGCTCCTGTTCCCCTTTCCTACTAATTCACAGGAGGACAGGTGGTATTGAAGCAATAGATGGTGGAGGGGGTGGTCCTTCCCCCAGCCTCTCGGGTAGAACAGCAGCCTAACATGTGTCTCCCGAGATCACAAAGAGCAGCACATTTCACACGGGCTTCAACACTATTTTCTGGCTGTTTGACATAAGAGAATCTTGCTTCGCTATTTTTAATCGTGATTTCACCTTTGTTTCCTTTCCTTGGTGAATGCAATTTGTTTGACTCAAGAATGCTGTGGATGTAGAAATCCTAAAGCACATTCGCTGTGTATCAATCCCAGTGCAGTCTTCCCAGAGAAGACTCTAAACAAATCCTGGACTGCACCTGGGCCTATGCCAATTCCTATCACTCACCGTCACTCCAGGGAGACAGAACACACAGAGGATACGTTACATAGGCAGGTTCATTACTAACAGATAAGCAGCGAGTGACAACAGAAGCCTGCATTTCAATGTGAGCCAGTCCCTCAAGGCTCAGAAAAGCTGCTCGGGACATATGGAGTCACCCCATTTGCAGTGTAACTGGGGGAAGCCAGAAAGCAGCCCAGCCTGGGTTTTGTACCCTGGAGCCACAGGAAGCACTCAGCTAAAGCACTGCATGACGTCCTCCTCCAGGAAGAACAGGAAGACAGCCCAGGCTGTTCTGAGACATTCCTCCTGATCTCAGGATGTTGCTATCTTAGTCCATTTTTGTTGCTCTAAAGGAACACTTGAGCCTGGGTAACTTCTAAAGAAAAGAGATTGGTTTGCCTCACAGTTCTGCAGGCTGTACTGGAAGCATGGCACCAGAATCTATTTCTCTTGACGGCCTCAGGCTGCTCCCACTCTGGCAGAAGGGAAGGAGGGTCTGTCTGTGCAGAGACCGCAGAGATCACACGGCAAGAGAGAGAGTAAGGGGGAGAGGGAGCGATGGAGCTTCCAAGCTCTTTTTAACAACCAGCTCTCCAGGAACTAACAGAGGGGGAACTTGCTAACCCCGTCTCCTTGGGACAGCATTGATCTGTTCATGATGGATCCACCTCCATGACCCAAACACCTCTGAAGAGGCCCAACCTCCCACAATGGGGGTGAAATTTCAATGTGAGGTTTGAAAGGGTCAAACATCTCAACTAAAGTAGTTGTATCCTCAGCACGTTCTATGGTTACTATGAGAGCTATAATTGAGAAAGCAGGGGAAAGCTAGGTCTCCCGCCATTTGGGTGCTTGTCCTAAAGAGACGTTGTATGTGGTTACCTGCCAATCAAGAAATGCGAGACAATTCATAAAGAGGAACTGCTATGATTAGCTTCTTATTGGTGTCTCCTCTTCTTCCAGGTAACCCCAGACACCTACATGTTCTGATTGGGACCTCAGTGGTCAAAATCCCTTTCACCATCCTCCTCTTCTTTCTCCTTCATCGCTGGTGCTCCGACAAAAAAAGTAAGTCTCACGAAGCAGAGGCCAGAGAGCTCAGGGCCATGTGGGGAAGCAGGATGGGAGCACGCGGATGTGTGTTCCTCACCAGCAGGATGGTCCCTGGCCCAAGACAGGAGCCACAGAGGCAGGACTTTCTAGAGAGAGCACCAGATTCCCTTCCCCTGCCTTCAGCTCACAGACCATTGCCTGATTCTGAACTGTATCCTCACGTCCCCTGCAGCCACTCACATCCAGGAGAAGGTTCCATGACAGGCAGAAAGTGGGAGATAGAATCAATGGGATGGGAACTCAGAGCTATTCATGGGATGGGTCCTTGAACTCAGAGAGATAGAATGTCTGAGTCTGCTGTTGGCAACTGAGGGACCTCAGGCACCTATGGCCTCCCCCTGTTTGTTGGTATCTGCTTATGAAATGAGGACCCAGAAGTGCCCTCCGAGCTCTTTTGTTGACTTCCGTCTTCTACAGATGCTGCTGTAATGGACCAAGAGCCTGCAGGGAACAGAACAGTGAACAGCGAGGTAGGTGCTCCTCGGCCCAGCCTCGTGGCTAGTCTTATTCCCAAAGAGTCCTGAAAAATGTGAGCACCCTCCCTCACTCAGCATTTCCCTCTCTCCAGGATTCTGATGAACAAGACCATCAGGAGGTGTCATACGCATAATTGGATCACTGTGTTTTCACACAGAGAAAAATCACTCGCCCTTCTGAGAGGCCCAAGACACCCCCAACAGATACCAGCATGTACATAGAACTTCCAAATGCTGAGCCCAGATCCAAAGTTGTCTTCTGTCCACGAGCACCACAGTCAGGCCTTGAGGGGATCTTCTAGGGAGACAACAGCCCTGTCTCAAAACCGGGTTGCCAGCTCCCATGTACCAGCAGCTGGAATCTGAAGGCATCAGTCTTCATCTTAGGGCATCGCTCTTCCTCACACCACGAATCTGAACATGCCTCTCTCTTGCTTACAAATGTCTAAGGTCCCCACTGCCTGCTGGAGAGAAAACACACTCCTTTGCTTAGCCCACAATTCTCCATTTCACTTGACCCCTGCCCACCTCTCCAACCTAACTGGCTTACTTCCTAGTCTACCTGAGGCTGCAATCACACTGAGGAACTCACAATTCCAAACATACAAGAGGCTGCCTCTTAACACAGCACTTAGACACGTGCTGTTCCACCTCCCTTCAGACTATCTTTCAGCCTTCTGCCAGCAGTAAAACTTATAAATTTTTTAAATAATTTCAATGTAGTTTTCCCGCCTTCAAATAAACATGTCTGCCCTCATGGTTTCGGTAACGAGACTCTTTTCTTGCCTAAGGCTTCCGGTGTTATCATTACCATGTCCACATAACCCCATCTGTTCTCCATTGGGTTCTCAGCCCTGGACTCTGAGCTTCTGGAAGCAGAATGTAGCCTGATTTGTCTCTGAGACTCCAATTTCCATCCAAAGATACAGCACATAGGAGGCTCCAAGGATCGTGAATCACATGAACAAGTGATATTCTTACTCTCTGCAGACCTGGAAAGCTGGCAGAGTCATTCCACGATGAAACATTTGTAGAGACATAGGCCTTGTTAGTCTCATCTCCACGGGGACACATATCAACATATCATCTTTCATAATATAAATATACAGTCGGTCCTCCATATCTGTGGGGTTTACAGGTGTTTATTGAACCAACAATAAATCAAAAATATTTTCAGAAAAAAATCCCCGAAGTTTCAAGAAGCAAAAAACTATGTTGAATCGACACAAATTGAGTGGCGTGTAGGCTGTGTCAGGAATTATAAGTAATCAAGAGATGATTTCATGTATACAGGAGGATGTGCATGGGTTCTATGCAATTGCTATGCTATTTTTTTTTTTTTTTGAGACAGTCTCACTCTCTCACCCAGGCTGGAGTGCAGTGGCATGATCTCAGCTCACTGCAACCTCTGCCTCCCAGGTTCAAGCGATTGTCTTCCCTCAGCCTCCCCAGTAGCCTCCCCTAGGATTACAGGCACGTGCCACCATGCACAGATAAATTTTTTTGTGTGTGTATTTTTAGTAGAGACGGGGTTTCAGAATGTTGGACCAGCTGGTCTTGAACTCCTGACCTCGTGATCTACCCAACTCAGCCTCCCAAAGTGCTGGGATTACAGGCGTGAGCCACGGTGCCCAGCTTCGCTATGCCATTTCATGCAAGGGGCTTGAGCATCTGCAGATTTTGGTATCTGAATGGGGATCCTGGAACCAATCACCCAGGAATAGTGAAGGACCACAGTATATAATTTTTATTTGTCAATCTTAAAAATAAAGCATAAAAAGTTTACAACAACAAGATAAAAAATAAGAAGTGTTTTTATAGTGTGAGGATAAGTTTAGATTTATTTTTTCCTACGTGTAACCCTATGGTCCTGTGTTATTTATTGAGAAAATATTCTATTCCACCTTAAACTACATGGCAGCCTTTGTCAACTATAAAGGGACTGTGTATCCACAGATGTATTTTAGACACAGTTTTCTGCCCAGTGGTTCTCTGTATCCCCTCTCATGAGGATGCTGCATTTCATATAAACTTATAGAACCCCTTAAAATTTGGTAACCTGAGTTCTCTGATTTGTTATTATAGGTTATTTAGTTTGCTTTTTTTTTTCTTTCTTGAGACAGACTCTTCCTCTGTCACCCAAGCTGGAGTTCAGTGGCTTGAGCTCAGCTCACTGCAGCCTCCGCCTCCCAGGTTCAAGCAATTCTCGTGCCTCAGGTTTAGTACTAGAAACTCATCAGGAAAATTAGAATGGCTTTTTGTCACAATTACTCTGATAATGTTAATAATACCTCTTAGATATTTTGCACATTACACATGAAGAAAAGTTTGAATCTCAGATAAAAACAAAAATACATCAAAAGTCTTTAATGTAAGCACAGAATTCAATCACCTCATGTGTGAGAGGTTGGATCTGAGACGTCTTTTGAGTCTGGTCATAGTGAAGGATGCAAGGTGGCAATTGTAGTCACAACAATTTCCAGGAAGCCATGTTCCGCTCTTGAGCGAGCACCCACTGGGCCTCATGCAAGGTAGAAAGAGCCTGCGTACGTCACCCTCCCATGATGTGGTCAACATGTAAACTGCATGGGCAGGGCGCCAAATAACATCCTGTGCGCTGCTGAGCTGAGCTGGGGCGCGGCCTCCTGTCTGCACCGGCAGCACCATGTCGCTCACTGTCGTCAGCATGGCGTGCGTTGGTGAGTCCTGGAAGGGAATAGAGGGAGGGAGAGTGGGGATGGAGATCTCGGCCTAGAGGTAAAGATATGGGCCTGGAGTGGAGATATGGGCCTGGAGTGGAGATATGGGCCTGGGTGTGGAGATATGGGCCTGGAGGTGTAAATATGGGCCTGGAGTGCAGATATGGGCCTGGAGGGGAGATATGGGCCTGGGTGTGGAGATATGGGCCTGGAGTGGAGATACGGGCCTGGAGTGGAGATATGGGCCTGGAGTGGAGATATGGGCCTGCAGGTGGAGATCTGGGCCTGGAGTGGAGATATGGGTCTGATGTGGAGATATGGGCCTGGAGTGGAGATATGGGCCTGGAGTGGAGATATGGGCCTAGAGGGGAGATCTGGGCCTGGAGTGGAGATATGGGTCTGATGTGGAGATATGGGCCTGGAGTGGAGATAGGGGCCTGGAGTGGAGATAGGGGCCTGGAGTGGAGATATGGGCCTGGAGTGGAGATCTGGGCCAGGAAGTGTTGATCTGGGCCTGGAGCCTGGGTCTCTCCACAGCTGAGAGCCCTGTTCTTGGCAGCAGGTAGCAGGGAGGCTAAGTTTACCTTCAGCCCAGCAAGGGCCTGGCTGCCAAGACACACAGTGCAGTGGGGGCAGCAGGGTGCCCTGGTTTGCCTGCAGTTGGATCGTCTATCATGATCTTTCTTTCCAGGGTTCTTCTTGCTGCAGGGGGCCTGGCCACTCATGGGTGAGTCCTTCCCCAAACCTTAGGGTGTCATCTCCCCACATAAGAGGATTTTTCTGAAACAGGAGGGAAGTCCTGTCGGGGAGTCTCTCATAAACTAGGAAGAGGGGACCCTTGGATACTCGGCCCACATTTCTGACCTCGCCCTCCCCGGCCTTTCTTTCCCTTTCCTGAGTCAAGCTCTGTGAAGACTGGGGTGAGACTGGGGTGCTCCAAGCTGGGGTGTGCAGGGAGGAAGTGGTGTCAGCAGCAGAGAAAGAGAGGGAAGCAGTGCTAGGAACAGCAGGTCCTCTGAGGACAAAGGTATAACTGACACCCTCCAGCGTTTCCGTGACGGTAGGGGCTGCAGTGTGGCTGCGGTCTTTCTACCAGAAGAGGGGGGAAACCACAGCCATGGCCCTGACATTCCAAATCCTCTGAGGGGGCTCAGTTCATGAATTGGCTGATATTCCATTCACATAGGACATGCCCTCCATGCCGTGTCTACTTTGTGTTGTTTTATGTGAGTAATTTTGCAGTATTAAAATCTAGTAAGAGTCACTTATTCAGCACTTGCTCAAAGTTCTCAGCTGACACTTGTTGTAGGGAGACGCCATGTCTATGTGGGGTGGGTCCTTCCTGTAGCCCTGGGCACCCAGGTGTGGTAGGAGCCTTAGAAAGCGGAAATGGGAGAATCTTCTGAGCACAGGGAGGGAGGGGTGGCTCCACATCCTCCTCTCTAAGGCAGTGCCTCCTTCTCCCCCAGGTGGTCAGGACAAACCCTTCCTGTCTGCCCGGCCCAGCACTGTGGTGCCTCGAGGAGGACACGTGGCTCTTCAGTGTCACTATCGTCGTGGGTTTAACAATTTCATGCTGTACAAAGAAGACAGAAGCCACGTTCCCATCTTCCACGGCAGAATATTCCAGGAGAGCTTCATCATGGGCCCTGTGACCCCAGCACATGCAGGGACCTACAGATGTCGGGGTTCACGCCCACACTCCCTCACTGGGTGGTCGGCACCCAGCAACCCCCTGGTGATCATGGTCACAGGTCAGAGGCTTTCTGTCTGGGCTTCTCACTGTCCCACCTCCTGAATCCCAGAGCTTCTGGTGGGGGTGTCCATCAGGGTCCCATCACCCAGGCCCCAACTGTATTTGGGGTCAAGGGAGATTGAATACAGGGGAAATGGGCGCTGTGGTGGGAAGAATAACTGTCGCCAATGATGGCTACATTGTAAACCCTGGAGCCTGTGACTATTTATGTTATAGGGCAGGGGACTGAAGGGGAAGGTGGAGCTCAGGTTGTTGATGAGTTGACCTTGAGATGGGGAGACAGCCTGGACTGTCCTGCTGGGCTCAGTGTAATCACAAGGGTCCGCGTGAGAGGTGGAGGAAGAGGGGAGTGGGGATTAGAGCAGTGTAGTGGGAGGGAGACGCTATCAGCCACTGTGGGCTTTGAAGGTGGAGGAAGGCCACTAGTCACAGAATGCAGGTGGCCTCTAAGGGCTGGAGAAGTCAAGAGAACTGATTCGCTGAGTCTCCAGAGGGAACGCAGCCCTGCAGATGCCTTGATTTCAGCACAGGGAGAACTGGATCCAATTTCTGTCCCCAGAAGTGGAAGGGGTCAGTGTGTTCTCTCCTGCTGCCATGTTTGTGATAATTTTCTGCAGCAGCAACAGGAAACCGACACAGGAACCCAGGTCAAGGACAAGCTAGGAAACCAAACAAGGATAGCCAGGTGTGGTGGTGGGCACGAGTAATCCAACGACTGGGGAGGCTGAGGCAAGAGAATCACTTGAACCGGGGAGGCAGAGGTTGCAGTGAGCCAAGACAACACCACTGCACTCCAGCCTGGGTGAAAAAGTGACTGTCTCAAAAATAAATTAATTAATCAATTAATTAAAGAAACCAAACAAGGAGAAGGTTGGCTACCGTGGGATCAGCAAGGGTGGGATGCTGATGCCACCACCAGGCTCCATCCACATAGGAAGGGGTTGATGCTCCTGGAACCAGCACCAGGGACCACCCTATGGAAGCTGGGGCCATGGAGAAGGCACAGACATGGCAGGAGAGGCTCCCAATCCCCATCAGGAACAGGGTGTGTGGACACTGATGTCTGCCTTACTGATGAGTTGATACCTCTGCCAGAGACTCCAATTTGTTCAAAAGAGATTGATTCAGGCTGCTGAGAGCCTGGACATGCAGCCTGTCCTCTTCCACCCTCACATAGACAGCAGGAAAGAGACTAGTGGGAAAGAGATACAACAGCCCAAGAGATGAGGCTCTCTTCACAGTGGGAAGGGAGTCAGGGGCTACTGGAGACAGAGGGACAGAGAAGAGGGAGGAAGACAAATGGAGGGACCTGCACCAGGGGATATGGGCACAGAAAAGACACGGAGACACAGAGAGGGAGGAGAGAGACAGACCTCTGGGAGGGGAACCCTCACTCATTCCAGGTGCCATGGATGGGATGATAAAGAGAGATGCCTTCTAAACTCACAACTTCTCTTTCTAGGAAACCACAGAAAACCTTCCCTCCTGGCCCACCCAGGGCCCCTGCTGAAATCAGGAGAGACAGTCATCCTGCAATGTTGGTCAGATGTCATGTTTGAGCACTTCTTTCTGCACAGAGATGGGATCTCTGAGGACCCCTCACGCCTCGTTGGACAGATCCATGATGGGGTCTCCAAGGCCAACTTCTCCATCGGTCCCTTGATGCCTGTCCTTGCAGGAACCTACAGATGTTATGGTTCTGTTCCTCACTCCCCCTATCAGTTGTCAGCTCCCAGTGACCCCCTGGACATCGTGATCACAGGTGAGAGTGTCCAGACATTCTTCTCATTGTCATTGGGACACAGAGTGAATGATCCAGGACTTGGAACCCCCAGGTGGTCATGAGGAAGATAAGCGTGGGATTCTTATGGAGAGAGACTGACTCGGTGAGGTCTGTACCAACAGAGACAGGGAAACAGGAGACATAAGTACAGACCAGGTGTCATAACAGAGGACAGACACAGGGGCCATACGGGGAAGTAGAAAAGAGAGAAAGAGGTAAAGGAGACACTCAGACAGACAGACATGTGCCAGAGAGAAGTGTCCTTCCATGCTGACTTTGCTCAGAGACCTGGCACAGGTTAGAAGTTTCATTTCTGTTTTGTCTCCACAAAGTGCTTCTACGAGGAGAACCCAAGGACACCCATATTTCTGACCTGAGTTGGGCCCTGTGGCCTCAGGCCTTGTGGCATCTACAGATGCCATGTTTATTCTGACACCTCTGCCTTCCATGCAGTGGAGCCATAATTATCCCAGGATATCATGGCCCCAGAACACCAACCCCTAAATACTGTGTGTACTTGGTGTCCCCAGACTAGATTCTGAGGCTCATATTCCAAATAATCCTACATATAATAGGATCACTGAGAGACACAGAGATAAATCAGGGACTTCAAAAAGCAAAGGCATAAACACACAGAGAATGAGCCAGAGGAAGGGGATTGAGAGACTCACAGACACACAAAAAGAAAGAAAAGAGGGCAGAGGAGTGGAGAGAATGCTGGAAGGGAGGAGAGAAAAGCCCCAAAATCAGAACCCTGAGGGAGGGGCACAAAGACAGAGAAAGATAAAGATGTGGGGATGGATTGCAGAGATTCCAAATAGAACTAGAGAGACTGAGAGGCAGAGAAAGACAAGGAGATGGAGAGAGACAGATGATAGATGGATAGATAGATATAGATAGATGATAAATAGGTAGATGATAGATAATGGATAGGTTATAGATACATAGATGATGATTGATAGATGATACATAGAGATGATGATGATGATGATGATGAAGATAGATAGATAGAAGACACATATATAAATATATAGATACATAGATGATACATAGAGACTGACAGGCAGACAGAGAGGTAATAGAGAGAGAGAGAGATGATACATAGATACAGATAATACATAGATGATTGATGGATAGACAGATAGACAATTGATAGATAAATGATACATAGATATAGATGACAGATAATTTGTAGATAGACACAAAATAGATAGATAGATAATAGATAGAAATATGCAGAAAGTTATGAACAAGACAGAAAGTGAGAGACTCAGAATTATAGAAAAAGGAAGATCAAGTCAACCAATCCAAGGAGAGTCAGAGAGAATAAAACAATCCAAAAAGGGAAAGCATACCCAGGGGTGGGGAAGTGAGGTCAGAGACCTAGAGAGACAGAGAAGGCGGAAGGAGGAAATAGACATGAAGAGAGTTGGGGTGGAGGGTGAGAGAGAGAGAGAGCATTAGGTCATAGAGCAGGGGAGTGAGTTCTCAGCTCAGGTATGAGGGGAGCTGTGACAAGGAAGAACCTCCCTGAGGAAACTGCCTCTTCTCCTTCCAGGTCTATATGAGAAACCTTCTCTCTCAGCCCAGCCGGGCCCCACGGTTCAGGCAGGAGAGAACGTGACCTTGTCCTGTAGCTCCTGGAGCTCCTATGACATCTACCATCTGTCCAGGGAAGGGGAGGCCCATGAACGTAGGCTCCGTGCAGTGCCCAAGGTCAACAGAACATTCCAGGCAGACTTTCCTCTGGGCCCTGCCACCCACGGAGGGACCTACAGATGCTTCGGCTCTTTCCGTGCCCTGCCCTGCGTGTGGTCAAACTCAAGTGACCCACTGCTTGTTTCTGTCACAGGTGAGGAAAACCCGTGTCTGTCCCATGTCTTATGATCCTAGAGCCATAGCTGAGGAGCTTCCTGCCGATGATGGGGAGAAGCATGGACAGATGCAGAGAGAACACGAAGACTGGGTGTGAGGGGGGGGTCAGGGTGCAGGATGGCAGACAGGGCACCTCCAAACCCTCTTGCATGGCCTGCATGGAGGCCCATGGTCAGGGCTCCAGGCACCCAGGCAGATGGAGAAAGCGGTCAGGACAGACCCAGAGAAGGGGAGACTGGGCTCAGTTTGGGGAGATCAGAGGTTCCCTCAGCCCCTCAACCTTACCCATTTCCCAGAAGCCCATCCTGGCCTCTCACCCACACAGAGAGATGTCATCACCAGCAACCCCTACACTCTTTTCTTTTCATTTTCAAAAATATTTATTGAGGTTAAATGTAACTATATAATTTACCAACTTTACCATTTTTAAAAGTAAAATCTAGTGGTCATAAATACCTTTATATGCTGGGTGTGGTGGTTCACGGTTGTAATCTTGGCGCTTTGAGAGGCCAAGAAAGGTGGATCATTTAAGATCAGGGACTCGAGATCAGCCTGGCCAACATGCGGGAAATTCATCTTTACTAAACAGACAAGAAAAATTAGCCAAGCATGCCGGCATGCACCTGTAGTCCTAGCTACTTGGGAGGCTGAGGCAGGAGAAGCACTTAAAGCCAGGAGGCAGAGGTTGCACTGAGCCGAGATCATGCCACTGCACTGCAGCCTGGGAGACAGAGAGAGACTCTGTTTCTAAATAAATAAATACATCTATATTCTTTTTTTTGTTACCCTCCACCCTTCCCTTCCTGGCCTCTGGTATCCACCATTCTATTCTCTACCTTCATGAGATCCACCTTTTATCTCCTGCATGTGGTGAGAAATGGGAATCTTTGTAATGACCTCGAGTTCCATCCATGTGGCTGCAAATGACAGGATGTTATTGTTTCTATGGATGAGTAGTCTCCACCGTGTGTGTGTACTACAGTTCTCTATCCATTCACCCACTGATAGGCAGGTAGGTTGACTCCACATCTTGGCTACTGTGAACAGTGCTGGAACAGTCATATGAGTGCAGATATCACTTCGATACACTGATGTCCTTTCCTTTGGATATAAACCCAGTAGTGAAATTGCTGGACACTATGAAAGTTCTCTTTTTTTTTTTTTCTTTTTTGAGAAAGAGTTTCCCTCCTTAGTCCAAGCTGGAGTCAAAGTGGTGCGATCTTGGCTCATTGCAACCTCTGCTTCCTAGGTTCAAACGATTCTCCTGACTCAGCCTCCCTAGTAGCTGTGATTACAGGTGCACGCCACCATGCCTGACTAATTCTTGTATTTTTTAGCACAGACGGGATATCCCAATTTTGGGCAGGCTGCTCTCAAACTCCTGACCTCAAGTGAGGTGCCTGCCTCGGTTTCCCAAAGTGCTGAAGTTACAGGCATAAGCCACTATGCCCAGCCTGCTTTTAGTTTTTTAAAGATTTTCCATACTTTTCTCCATAATAGTTGTACTAATTTACATTCCTACCAACAGGGTACCAGGGTTCTCCTTTCTCTACCATCTTGCCAGCATTTGTTTTGCCTGTCTTGCAGATAAAAGCCATTTTACTTTACTTTATTTATTTATTTATTTATGTTGAGATGGAGTTTCACTCATAGTCGCCCAGGCTGGAGTGCAAGGGTGTGATCTCGGCTCACTGCAACCTCTGCCTCCCGCG